>NC_000004.12:91345623-91648653 GCF_000001405.40 Homo sapiens
CATCTTGTATTAGTATAGTATTTTTGTTATATAATTGATGAACCAGTATCAATACATTGTTATAAACCAAACTCCATAATTTATATTAAGGTTTATTCTTTGTGTTGTGCCTTATATGAATTTTGAAATGTATAATAATATGGATTTACTCTCATCAGAGTATTATGTAGGACAGTTTCACTTCCCTAAATTGCCCTGTGCTCTCCTATTCATCCTTTCCCCTCATGCCCCACAAACTCCTGGCAACCACTGATCTTTTTACTGTGTCCATAGTTGGCCTTTTCTAAAATGACATATTGTTGAAATCATAAGAGTATATATAGTCTTTTCAGATTGGATTACTTCACTTAGCAATATGCATTTAAGATACTTGCATGATACTTGCATATCATACTGGGGCTTGACAGCTCTTTTTTTTTTTAAGACAGTCTCACTCTGTCACCAGGCTGGAGTGCAGTGGTGTGGTCTTGGCTCACTGCAACCTCCACGTCCCGGGTTCAATCCATTTTCCTGCCTCAGCCTCCTTGGGACTACAGGCGCTCACCACCACACCCAGAGAATTTTTGTATTTTTAGTAGAGACAGGGTTTCACCATGTTGGCCAGGATGGTCTCGACCTCTTGACCTTGTGACCCGCCTACCTCAGCCTCCCAAAGTGCTGGGATTACAGGTGTGAGCCACGGCGCCTGGTCTTATTTCTTTTTATCATTGGATGTATTATATTGTATGGATATACCACAGTTTGTTTATTCATTAACCTATTCAAGGGTATCTTGGATGGTTCCGAATTATGGCAATTGTGATTAAAACTGCGGTTAATACTCATGTGCAGGTTTTGATGTGGGCATACAACAATTTTCAACTCACTTAGGTAAATACTAAGGAGCACAATTGCTGGATCCTATGATAAGAGTGTGTTTAATTTTATAAAAAATTGCAAAACTGTCTTCCAAAGTGGCTGGGCTATTTTGCGTATCCACCAGCAATGAATGAGATCTCCTTTTGTTTCACATCTTCATCAGTATTTGATGTCAGTGTTTTGGATTTTCATCATTCTCACAGGTTTAAAGTGGTATCTGTTTGTTTTAATTTGAAATTCCCTAATAGCATACGATGTTGAGCATTTTTTCATGTGCTTATTTGCCATCTGTATATCTGTTTTAGTGAGGTGTCTATAGATAACTTTTGCCCATTTTAAATTATATTGTTTGTTTCTTATTTTTGAGTTATAAGATATTTTTGTATATTTTGGGTACCAGTCCATTATCAGATATGTGCTTTGAAAATATATTTTCCTAGTCTATAGTTTCTCCTTTCTTTCTCTTCACAGTGTCTTTTGCAGAGCAAAAGTTTTAGTTTTAATGAGCTTCAACTTATGAGTTTTTTTTTGTTTGTTTGTTTTATGCATCAGGCTTTAGTGTTGTATCTAAAAATTCATCACCAAACTCAAGGTCACCAAGATTTTCTCCTGTGGTATCATTTAGAAGTTTTATATCTTTGTGTTTACATTTAGATGTATGGTTCATTTTGAGTTAATTTTGTGAAAGGTATAACGTCTGGGTGTAGATTTATTTTTTGCATGTGGATTTTGAGTTTCAGCACCACTTGTGAAAAGACTATTATATTTCCATTTATTTGACTTTGTTCCTTTGTCAAACATCACTTGACTATATTTGCTATTTTGTTCCATTAATCTATTTGTCTTTTACTTCATCAACCTCACACTGTCTTGATTACTGTAAATTTATAGTGTATCTTGAAGTTTGGTAGTATCAGTCTTCCAACTTTTTTACTTCTTCAATATTGTGTTAAATATTATGAGTCTTTTGCTTTTTCTTATGAAATTTAGAACACATTATTATTTTTTTTTTGCATCCACAAAATGACTCACTGAGATTTCGGCTGGGATTGTGTTTAATGTATTGATCAAGTTGGGAAGAATTGAAATCTTGACAATGTTAAGTATTCTTATACATGTAGATAGAATATATTTGTATTTATTTAGATCTTCTTTGATTTTTTTCATCAGAATATTGTAGTTTTTCTCATACAGATTTTATACTTATTTTGATATATTTATATCTAAGTATTCAATTTTTGAGATGTACTAATTTAAATGGTATTATGTTTTCCATTTCAAATTCCAATTTTTCATGGCTAGTATTAAGAAAAAAATTGACTTTTGCTTATTAGTCTTATATCCTCCAATATTGCTGTAATCACTTCTTAGTGCCAGTAGTTTTTTTTTTGTCAATTCTCTGCAATTTTCTACATTAATAATCATGTCACCACCTTAAAAAGACAGTTTTATTTCTTCCTTCCCAATCTGTCTACTTTTTATTTCCTTTTTTGTTGTTCTTATTTCATTGGCTGGTACTCCCAGTATGATGTTGAGTAGAAGTGTAAGAACAGACTTCCTTGCCTTGTTCCTGATATTAGCAGGAAAAGCATATAGTTTTTCACTGTTAAGTATGATGTTAGCTGTAAGTGTTTATAGATTTTTTATCAAATTGAGAAAGTTCCTATTTAATCTTAGATTGCTGATGGTTTTACTTATGAATTATGAATGAGAATTGGTTTTTTTAGATGCTTTTGCTGCATCTATTAAAATAATAATATAATTTCTCTTATTTAGCCCGTTGATGTGAGGGATTATAGTAATTGATTTTTGAATATTGAATCAGCCTTGCACACCTGTCATAAATTCCATTTGATCATGGTGTATAATTCTTTATATACATTGTTGGATTTAATGTGCTTTCTTTTAGGATTTATGCATCTATGTTCCTGAGAGATATTGGTCTATAATGTTTTTGTCTTGTAACTGATTTGTCTGGTTCTGGATTAGGGTAATGATGGCCTAGAAGAATGAGTTAGGAAATATTCCCACTACTTCCATTTTTTGGAGGAAACTAGAGAATTGCTGTAATTTCATTTTTAAATTATTGGTAGAATTCATCTGAGCTTGGTGCTTTCATTTTGGAATGTTATTATTTACTGATCCAATTTTTTAAATAGATGTTTAGATTAGTTCTTCTGATGTGAGTTTTGGTAGATTGTGTGTCTTTCAAGGAATTGCTCCATTTCATCCAGGTTATCAAATGTGTGGGCACATAGTTGTTCACAATATTTTTTTATAATCCTTTTAACATCCAGTGGTTCAGTAATGATAGTTGCTTTTTTATTTCTCATCATAGCAATTTGGGTCTCTCATTATTTCTTCCTTAACCTGGCTAGAGGTTGAAACAGATTTTGATTTTGTTGATTTTTTAAAATTAATTAATTAATTTATTTATTTATTTTTGAGACGGAGTCTCACTCTGCCCCCCAGGCTGGAGTGCAGTGGTGAGATCTCGACTCACTGCAAGCTCCGCCTCCCGGGTTCACGCCATTCTTCTGCCTCAGCCTCCCAAGTAGGTGGGACTACAGGCACCGCCACCGTGCCCGGCTAACTTTCTGTATTTTTAGTAGAGACAGGGTTTCACCGTGTTAGCCAGGATGGTCTTTATCTCCTGACCTCGTGATCTGCCTGCCTCGGCCTCCCAAAGTGCTGGGATTACAGGCGTGAGACACGGCGCCCGGCCAATTTTTTTATGTTGATTCTCTTTTTTCAATTTATGTTTTTGACTAAGGGTTGGGTGTTTTTTTTACTGTTTGCTGTAGCTATAGGTGTCAGAGGTTAAATTTTTCCCTAATTTCCTTGGTTTTGTCTTCCCTGTTGGGTTTGAGTTACCTAAGAGACAAATTCATCTTTAAATAAGGTCTCAGTCATGTACTTCTTTCAGTTGTATTCTCCTGATGTAATGGTTAAGTTGTAGAAAGGCAAATGGTCTAAAGTCTTACATTAGGCCTCCTTCTGTTACTGAGCCTGTGCACCTTATAGAAGTCAATAACCCTTAAAGGGCTTCCAAGTTCTGTTTTGAAGTCTGGAGGGGGTTAACGTTGTATATTTCTCATTTCCCAGTTTGTTTACTTTATGGTAAAACCCCAGTAGGTAAGGCTGTGCTACAATAGTTTGTCTTGAGGTCAGGCCTTTCAAAATGGTTACTTTTTCTCTTCCCCTGCTGGAAGCAAGAGAGTTTTTCTTTTTTTTTTTCCTCTCAGGTTTTCACTGAGAGAACCCAACTGGGCTGTAGGAGGTACATTTCATGAAAGTTTGGGGGCCTCGTAAGATTGAGTTCCCCTAGAATTTTTTCCACACTGTGCCTTCAGCAATTTGTCAATTACAGTTTAGGGTTTCCTAACAGCATTGTTTCCCATGGAGGTTTCTGCTTCTAGGCTTCTGCTTCAGTAAATCGTGATTCTCTGTATCTTACCTGTGTGTCTCTCCATTTTAGGGAGCAATATATTGCCCTTTGACCTCACTTCTCTGATGTATCTAAGAAGAGTTATTGAGTTTCAGTTTGTTCTGTTTTTTCATTGTAGTGAGAATGGGAGTGATGATGCCCAAGGTTCTTACATGCCATATTGGAAACTGGAAGTCATGAATTAAACCTTTAATACATAAATTAACAGTATTATTTTTGTTTGTTTTGCTTCCCATGTAAACTTTTATTTAATCATTAAAAATGGCTTAACATTTCTGTATTAAATTGAATTTGCAAAACAAATTTAGATCTGAATCTACCAGTTTGCATTTTGTGTTAATTCTTCTGATATGTTTCTATTCTCTGAAACTTTAAGGAAAAATTAATTATATAAAGCATATACTTATAAATTGGTTATTATACTTACCTTAAAAACCTGCTTTTTGGCAAAAATAGAGCTCATTTAAATTATTTTATTGTTATTAAAAATAGTTTGAAGACTAACATATCAAAGTTCCTCTTTTTAGTGTCATTTAAATGCATTTTCTGGCACAAGCAGGAAAAGAACATTAACTGATATATAACAATAGGGAACAACTATCACCAGAGGAAAATGATGTATAGATGGCATTCACAGATATTTTTCTTATATTGAAGAGATTAATTTGTTTATTGTCACATTAACTACATGTTACTTTGAATACTTTTGCAGTTTAAAAATTTGACTGCAGAACGTTGATAGTTTAACATTGACAAATACATAAGAATCAGTCTGAGATTTAGGAAAGGTAAAAAATATTAAGAATATTAATAAATGTATAATTTTTGGCAAATTCTAGACTTAATATTACTGTCATTTTTATATTTTATGGTATTAAGCACACAGTAGGCTATATTTTTAATGATGTTACAATGGTTAATTTCAACAACATCAAAAAATTTACTTTGACAGGAAACAAAAAAATTTAGTCTTAAAACATATTATTATTTTATACGGGGAGTAAATTAAGCCCAATAAAAAATTTATTTATGAAATTAAAAGTAATAGATTTTTGAGGGGCTTTAATTTGGGTCTTACATGCATGTATTTATTTGTACTCTACCTTGTTTTAAATATGATTTAAAGCAGCTTACTATGGTACTGACTAGGTTAGATGGGTTTGAGATGAAGTTTCCTCTGTTTGTTTAATTTCATGTGCTGAAATGAAGAAGGGAAACTATATTATGGGGAGAATATTTCCTTCATGACACTATCTACACATATTACTTTATTATAAAATAAAGCTATTTTATAAATACACATCAATGTTGCACAATACTCAATTGTCTTTACATATTCTTTTACTTGTAAATACATAAGTAAAAAGTGTGACTGGAAGGTCACTAAATTGTAAGCTTAATTTGAATCCTTCAGAGATGAAATAATCCTAATTTCTTAATATTTATTGATAAAAAATGAGATTCTTAATCTTTGAGTTTCTTCTCTGGGTATCACTTTTTTATATGGAGATGAATACAGATTTCTTGTTTTGTTTAAAATTATTTTCAGTACTAATTATTGGTTTTCTAAAGCATGAAACAGATTCTGGTATACAAAAATACTTACTTATAAAATAAATTTTACAGTATACTGGGACGAGAGTTATGCCAACATTAAATCATGTTTTTATTAAATCATTTAAGAATATAAAATATGGGGAATATTTTTGCCCTGTGGATCATTTTAGATATGTTCTTATTTAAAACAGTTTTTCAGATGCTCTTAAGAATGAGAGAGAATAATAATAGGCAGAAAACTATTTTAAATTAATTTTTACATTAATGTAAATGTTATGATTTTTTTTTAATTAAAGAATGTCTTCTACCATTTCAATTTTAAAGGGAAAATATTCATTTGTCCTATTTTGTTTTTCAAGTTGCATTCCTTTGTGTTCTCCAATCTGAAGTTTCCTCTTTGGTGAACCCTCCAACATAGTCTACTGCAGTTATTAATTGTACATAATATAAATGATGACAACAGACTTCTGAGCGCTGAAATGCAATGAGAAACACAGAAGTACCAATGGTCAAAAATCAACCAAAGGGGCATTTGATAACATTTATATTGTAAATTGCTGAGAATTGATTGCAAGTGATAAAATAAAAAGAGGCTGAAAATAGAAAACTAAAAATCAACCAAAGGCAATTTGTATGATTCAATAATAGCTATATACCAATTTATATACCTGACTACTTTAGATTATTCTCTAAAGATTGTCAAAACTTTTAATTTAACAACATTGCTCATTGTATAATAGGCTTAGGAAAATTTATTTTATTTTAGTTTAGTTTAGTTTTTTGAAACAGGGTCTCACTCTGTCACCCAGGAGTGCAGTGGCGCGATCTCCGCTCGCTACAACCTCCACCTCCTAGGTTCAAGCAATTCTCCTGCCTCAGCCTCCCAAGTAGCTGGAACTACAGGCGTGTGCCACCATGCCCAGCTAAGTTTTTGTAATTTTAGTAGAGACAGCGTTTCACTGTGTTAGCCAGGATGGTCTATCTCCTGACTTCGTGATCTGCCCGCCTCAGCATCCCAAAGTGCTCAGATTACAGGCGTGAGCCACCGTGCCCGGCAGGAAGATTTATTTGAAAAAGCACACAGAATAATGGTTATACAGGGGTCATACAATTTTTCATATAAAGGTTAGAAATAAAAAGCATTCTTGCCTATACTGTATAAAACCTGATTTCTTAGACCAAATAATTTATGCTTACCGTTAAAAGTGACATATGTAATTATGTTATAAGGAATATAATGTGGAATGAAGTTTTAACCATTTTAGAGACAATCCACCTAAGCTAACAAAATATATTAAGAATCTGCCATGTGCCAAACACTCTTCTGGCCATTGGAGACACAGAAGTGAACAAGCATATGTCATCCCTGTACTCAGGACTGGTGTCTACTGGGAAGATGAGAGGGTAAACTATAAATGAACATAGTAATATACAATCAGGTAATATTCAGTGCAATGTTGAAAAAAATAGACAGTGTATGGGAAGAGGGTGAGAGAAAGCTGCATCAGATAGGGTGGCCAGGAAGTTCTTCCAACAGAGACAAGAATGGAGAGAAGGAATCGATGTGAAAACCTGGGGGAACTGTAATCCAGACAGCAGGACAGCAAATGCAAAGGACAATTTCAACATCTTGTAGCAGGATAAGCTGCAGACAAAACCTCTCAGACACTGAGTTGTAGAAGGAAGGGCTTTATTCAGCCAGGAGCGTCGGCAAGCTACTGCCTTAAAATCTGAGCTCCCCAAGTGCACAATTTCTGTCCCTTTTAAGGGCTCACAACACTAAAGATTTCACATGAAAGGGTCGTGATTGATTTGGGCAAGCAAGGGGTCCGTGACGGGCTGCATGCACCAGTGGTCAGAGAGAAACAGAACAGGGCAGGGAGTTTCACGATGTTCTTCTATACAATGTCTGTAATCTATGAATAACGTCGGTTTCTAAGTTATGAGTTGATTTTTAACTACTGGGTTTAGGCCAGGCAGGCCCAGGCCTGGTTTTGGGCGTGGTGCTGGGCTGCCTGTCTTTGGTTTTACTTCCTTGTTGTTTTTTCTTAAAACAGGTACTGAGTATACAACAATATAAAACAATATGAGAGGGTCTCTCTCTTTCCTCCTTTCCCCCCTTTGAGACTCTCACTTTTTATTAGTGGGAGTTCTCACTCTTATTTTTGCTACTTATGACTTCTTATGCAATAGATTGATAGTGATTTATATAGTATGCTTGTGCTGAAGCATTTTGGTGAACTAAGGTAGCGATGAAGTTTTTTTATCATTTGGAGAAATACAGGTATCAGACAAGGGAGCAGTAAGCAGGTTCCTATTACTATGATTACTTTTATTATAAGAGTTTTAAATCCTCCTATTGCTGGGAACCAATTTCCAAACATGGCTACAGGATTGCATCTGTGCCACACTTGCATGGGTACATGTGCCAGTTTTGTTATATCTTTAACTATATTTTCAACTACTTCCCCTCATCATCTATGTGTAGGCAACAATTAGTAAGGTTAATTTTTCACAAACTCCTCCTTCAGCTGTTAGCAAGTAGTAAGAGCTAGTCTATTTTGATAGATAGCATTTCTCATTAGAGTTTCTTGCTGGGCCAGAATAGTCAAGGCTTGACCAGTTTTATTAGCAATGATTTTTAAAACAGCTTGTAACCGTATGATTCAGTTGAGCATGTAGATGGGGGTTTGATATCCTCCTGAGCCATCTTGTGCCTAAGTGGCAGGTCTATAATATTGTATGATTTTTTCAGGGGACCATTTATCATCTTTCCAATCACTTACAGCTATGCTTCATTTTTCGTGGGAAGCATAGACTGGGAAGCCCAGAAGTTTACCTGTTTTTATCGGCAGTAAGAAGAAAGATGGCTTAATGGTGCCAATTATACAGCTACCTGTCCACTGATCAGGCAGATTAGCATAAGCTCTGTGTCCACATATCCAGTATAACCCTGTGGGGCCGTCCAGTCCTGGTGGAATTCTGGGTGGGCCCAAATAGTCTGCAACTTTGGAAATTTACTGAATGGATTTCTTTCTGTGTAATTGGAACTCCACCATGTAACTGTTTTTGTGGTACCATTATACAGCTTTTGCCTAAGACAACTAAACCGCCTTACAGGATGAGTGAATCCTTTTCCTTCTTTAGCTATGCAATACTGTCCAATAATTGAGACTTTTAGGACGAAAAATATGTCAGGGTGGTTCTTTTGGGCTGGGAATTCATCAGGAACTGGATCTGTAGGAACTAATTATTGGGCTTCCCATGGCCATTGATCTTCTATTACAGTTTTTCCACAAACATAACATGAAGTGACATTTAGAGACTGGGCTACATGCTCGGCTAATTGCAAAAACAAATTTCTGGTTTTTCCTAGAGTCTCTGGTACTGGCACATTTAGTTTATTACAGAAAGTCTGAAATACTGGTTCTGGAGAGCGTATTTGAACCTCCCATTTCATTAGGATGTTTACACTAGGATCTAGTCCTTTTCCATCAATGCCTAATGATACATATTTTTCTTTATTTTATTTTGGGTCTGAGGGGTTTGTGATTACTAATTTTAAAGGGTTGCAGCTCCCACTCATGCAGGAGGGGCTGCCTTTTCCTTTGCAGAGCCAAACAAGATCTTTTTTTAATCCTCTTTTCAAGTAGCCTAAATGACACAAGACCAGTATTGACACATCTCACATAAATATGATTTTTGACAGATATACTTTTTTTTTTTAACTGTTTAACTTTTTTTTAGTTTACAGAACGGCATCTTATTCCATGCTGCTTACTATCAATAGCAGCACAAGTGTCAAATTTTAAGGTTACATTTTTGGGGGCCCCTCTTTCTTCTGTTCTAGCTATTACCTTACTTGTGTCACCTAGAAAAGGACCAGTCCTTAATTTTATTTTAAAAACTGTGATCGTGGGAGGCTTAAAATGGGTCATAACACACATCAGGTTGGTTATTTCCTGGGCTACATACCTTGGATAGAATAGCATTATACAAACGAGTTTCTTTTAGAGTCCTGGTACACTTATAATAACCATAAAATAATAGGACTGTAGCAATTTTTTGTCCTACCTCAGTGACTTGATGTATATACTGGGAACAGTTCTCAGTCTGACGAAGGTTAGTTGACGTCCTTACTGAAAAAGTCCAAATTTTAAGGAAAATGAGTCCCACAATGAGTTTTCTGATGCATCGGCCATGCGTGGACCAGTCAGCTTCCGGGTGTGACTGGAGCAGGGCTTGTCATCTTCTTTAGAGTCACTTTGCAGGGGCTGGCGAAGCTGCTCCCATCCACGTACAGCTCCCAGTCTACTGATGTGTAAGGGTGGTCTCAGAGGTTGGGCCTACTAGAATAAACAGAGTCTAACACCTCTACACAGTTAATGTTTCACTGGGCTCCCTGATACCAGGAGTAAGGTGGTGGGGTTAGGGTGTTGCAAACTTCAATGGTTATGTGGGGATTTTTGCAGAGCAAGCTTTGGTATCTAGTTAGTCTAACATTCATTGGCTAATGGTGTCCTTTGGTATTTATTAAAATCACCACAGCATGGGGACACTTTATGTTTAGGTTTTGCCCAAGAGTTAGCTTATCTGTTTCTTGTGCTAACAGGTCTGTTGCTACCAGGGCCCTTGGACATGGGGGCCAGTCTTTGGAAACCCCTTCTAGTTGTTTTGAGAGATAGGCCACTGGCCTTGGCCAGGGCCCTACAGTCTGGGTTAAAACTCCAACTGCCATTTTTTCTCTTTCTGACACATAGAGTGTAAAGAGTTTTGTCAGGTCAGGTAGCCTCAGGGCTGGGGCCGACATGCGTTTTTCTTTTTAACTTACGAAAAGCTCGTTGCTGTTGGTTGTAATAGATGTAGTTTATCTAATTTACATTTTTATTGACTGTCATCTACCAAAATATTGACTTAAATCTTACAACTATTTGATTTCAAGCTTTAAATTGATCTGGTATTCCTTGTGGGGCTCCAATTGCATCTAAATAGATGTGAGAGTTGAAAGACCTATAAGGGGCTTCTCTTGCTTTACGATGTCTTATTATTATTTTTTTTCCTCTGGCTGATGAAATGCCAGGGTGAAATGGATAGCCAAATGGACTAAAGCACAAGTGCCACTCTAGTTATTTGGCAGAGTGCCCAGTAAAAGTCCACCACAATACCACCACAAATCCACTCGGGGATGAACAAGGGCTGACTGATTGATAAGCTCTTGAAAATTCCTAAGATCACTGCATCCCTTCAGGTCTCCAAGGAATGCTAAGTCTCCTCCCCTGCCATGAGAGACAAGAAGTGAACTTAGTGTTGGGAGACGGAAGCTGGATGGCCCTCGGGGATGACCTGCAGGGACTTCAGGATACAGCAGAGAGAGCTTGGCATGACTTATTACTCCAGGCTGTAGAATCCTGGAAAACAGCTACCATACAGCCCACGCCTGGTCGACTGAAGGACCACCTTAGTGGAAGGGGGACAATCAGGGTCTCTAACCTGCCAACCTGCCATGTGCACAAGCATAACAGTTGCTTTGTTTAACGTGCGGATGGAATATTTGATCCATTTCATCCAGGCATTTGTATCTTGGTATGCTGTCTTAACTGCCGAAGTTTGTTTTAAGTCTTTAACTTTCTTGATCCTCTAGTAAAATGAATGTTTCCTTTAGCACCTATTTTTATTAGTTTTTAGACCAAAGAAAGCTAAACACCATTTTATATTTAATAATGCTTCTTGTGTGATTTTTATGCCAGATAAGTTAAATTTTACCTTTATATTAGTGTGTTATTAATGTTAAACTTAATTTTAATAAAGCCTTGTAGACATATTTATCCAATTTTTCATGTTTGACCATAAGGTAAGATTTTATAGACTCTTTAATCTTTTATAATTTTTGTTAAAGAGCAGGTTGATGCTTTAAGAAAAACTTGTTGCATTTTTACTTTAATGTCCAGTTCACAGAAAAACTGGATGATATCTTTTTAACTTTAGCTAATATGTTTACACACAGAATTTTCTTTATAATTAACATTTTAAAGCTTGCTTAAACTTTTAAAACAATAATTTTTTTAACCTTTTAATGTAGGTAAAAATCTACATTATTATGCCCCTTTATAATCTTTTTACCAAAGGTATATTTTACTTTTCTTATACACTTCGCACATAAACTGTTTTTTTTAATGGTACTCAGGAGGCCTTATTACTTTTAAATTATACAACATTTTTTGCATACAATTTTTATAACATTTTTTCTTTCATGACTTTCGCCGACAATTTTTCAACATGTCTCAACTTTCTGACTTATTACAAACATTTTTTTTTTCTTTAAACAACCAGTTAATTTATTTCAGGACAAGAATTTACCATATAACACTCTTTTTACCTAAATTCTGCCTGCCCCCCCCCCCTTTTTTTTTTTTTTTTGAAGATAACCATTCCTTTTTTTAAAGCAAACTTTCTTTATGTCTTTGGGACTAAGGCCACAAGATTAGAAGTTACCATAATACATGTTACACTGTTAACTTTTAGCAAACTTCACTTTTGTTGAAAACCTTGTAAGTTTGGGATTTCAATTATCCTTTGCTATTAATAAGACCTTGTTTAGTCTAAATTAACTTACAATTGGTTTAGATGGCCTTTTTTTCTCTCTGCTGGTCTTTCCTTTTCTCTCTGCTGCCTCTGCCAGCTGCTTATACTGCTGTTCTTTTAACTACTGTGGGGAGGAAAGGGGGTCTAAAACCAGCTGTTACTGTCTGTGTACGGAAACTGGTCTGGGTGCTTTGGCTTACAGGTTACCTTGTGCCATACCTTTGAAACAAGGGACCTGTCCAGGCTTCCTCAATTCTTTCTTGAATTTTTTTTTTTTTAACATAGTTCCCAGTGGGGTGGGCTTACTTTGTGCCTGACCCACGTTGTTTTTTTTTTTTTTTTCCCGAGACAAAATACCACACTCACACCACACATACCACAAGACAAAGAACAGGTAAAGAGGGCACACACACACTTCTACCGTTTATACCAAACCAAAATCATGAAATTCAAAATCCAAGTATCAAAAAATTCCAGCCAAGTCAAAACCAAAACCAAAGTATCCAGCAATTCAAGTCAAGTCAAAACCAGAACAAGAGTGCCAATGCAGGCACGCTGTGGGTGATCAGGCCACGCTTCCACTCAGATGGAGTGAGGCAAGTTCCAAAGACTAGTCTTACCAAGTTTCAGATGTCCGGACTCCAAGTGCCAGTTCCTTCCTGGTGTTCAGCCACTGTGTTAATCCTCCTCGGGGGCCTGCTATGTGCGCTGCTCTGGCGAGGTGTTCCACTGGGGCAGTTTCCTACCCGGGAGCGCTCTTTGGATCACGTCACTCAGGCTGGCTGGAGTCCCCCTCAGGGATGCTCCACAGGGCAGGCTTAAGTCACCTAAGGGGCTGCCTCAGCTATCCATCAGTCACCTCGCTTCCCAGTCAGGGAACCAAGAAATGTAGCAGGACGAGCCGCAGACAAAACCTCTCAGACACCGAGTTGTAGAAGGAAGGGCTTTATTCAGCTGGGAGCATCGGCAAGCTACTGCCTTAAAATCCGAGTTCCCCAAATGCACAATTTCTGTCCCTTTTAAGGGCTCACAACACTAAAGATTTCACATGAAAGGGTCGTGATTGATTTGAGCAAGCAGGTGGTATGTGACAGGGGCTGCATGCACCAGTGGTCAGAGAGATACAGAACAGGGCAGGGAGTTTCACAATGCTCTACTATACAATGTCTGTAATCTATGAATAACATTGGTTTCTAAGTTATGAGTTGATTTTTAACTACTGGGTTTAGGCCAGGCAGGCCCAGGCCTGGTTTCAGGCCTGGCGCCAGGCTGCCTGTCTTTGGTTTTACTTCCTTGTTGTTTTTCCTTAAAACAGGTACTGAGTATAAAGCAACGTAAAACAATATGAGAGGGTCTCTCTCTTACCTCAATCTCATGTGGAAAACAGTGACTGATAAACTTATGATGGCAAAAGCTGCTACCTATTAAAATTATATGAACATAATGTTATTTTAGAGTAGTTTAATTTTCATTTTTAGGTAAATTCAAACTAGCTTGTGAGGTATTGCTTCTTATTAACAGAAGATAACAACAATATCTCAAGCGATTAGTATCTCAGATCTCATAATTTGGTTGATAAAGGGGTTTCAGGAGAGAAAAGGATATTGAAAAAGGGCTAAGCAATCTTGCGTTGCTGTAGTGAAACAAAGGCAAACATAATTTTGATTTTTTTTAAGAAAATTACATGATGCTGAGTATTGGTGCATAATTTCACGTCCAGCAGTAATCGTTAACAAGAGCAGTTGTCATAGGAATACCAGCAGTGGTGTGGCAGAGGTGGTGGTGGTAATTTTAGTGCAGATAGAAAGCCTTAAAGGAACACCATCTATGTGACAGCCACAGTGCCAAGTGTGACTTGCATTATCTCTTTT
The DNA here is from genome assembly GCF_000001405.40 of Homo sapiens. Classification (NCBI taxonomy): domain Eukaryota; kingdom Metazoa; phylum Chordata; class Mammalia; order Primates; family Hominidae; genus Homo; species Homo sapiens. The sequence continues at coordinate 91,359,940 of NC_000004.12, forward strand.
ATTTTGGCAAACAGATATTAAGGTGAGGGTCAATATTATCCCTGCAAGGTTAGGTTTACACAATTATAAAATTTCAAAGCTGAGATTCAAACTCAGTTGCGTCTCATCCCACAATCCAAGCTATTTTTAAGGGGGGAAATAACATTCATTATGATTAATGGTAGTGTGGCACCATATAGTTCAAAATTTGAAATTGAAAGAGTATTTAGAAATCCTGAGTTTTAGGGTTGACTCTGCTATGCTATAAAATTGATGTGTGGGAAAGATACTTCTGTTCCCCGAGTCTGCAAATGAGCATACCAATGCCATTTTTCTTCCAGATTTGTTCTGGTAAACACATGATTGCATAAAAATAATATGAAAAAAAGATCTACTAAAAATTGATTTAAACTGTGTAGACATTAAGAGAGCTCTTATAAAATGCTATTCACTACATTATGAACTGGGAATAAAACTAATAGTTAAGACACAAACCTTCAAATGTCAAAAAAAAATTGGGGTCCATACAACTGTACAAGAAAAAATCTGAGTACATTATGCATCCATTCATGTTTAATGATTGTAGTAGACATCTGTAATTTTTACCCATTAAGCCAGCCTCCTAGTAAGAGACCCATCTCTTCCCCAATCCCAGATCCCTGTGTTTTGGATAGGATGCCTTCCATCCTTTGTGTCCAAGGATAGACCCTATAGCTCGAGCTCAGCCAACAAGACAGCCATAACCACAGTAACTGATGTAGAAGAAGGTTTATGGCACAAGCCTAGGTGAAAAAACAGAGAGAGAGAGAAAGAGAGAGAAAGGATGCTACATTTGACACATTTTTTCCAACTTTTCTTCTTTATTGGATGTCTCATTTATATGAGCCAGCAAATTCCTGTCTATTGAAAGCTAGGTTGCACTGGTTTTCTCTTACCTGTAGTTAAGAATGCAAATCAGTAATAGGATGGAGGAGGTTATAAATGAGCCAGGATTTTGAATATGCCAGGAAGACTGATTTAGACAGTGTAGTTATGTGAACTCCTTTGAGATAAAAAGCTGAGCTTGGAGTCAATGAAATTCTTCAGCTTTCATAAGATGGTAGGTATTTAAATAAGGTCTTGAAGAGTTAAATCTAAATAGATGAAACCAAAGTTATCACAGAGGGGGAGGAAATGGCCTTTTTTTTAGTCTAGCAGATGCTAGACCAGAAATAAATATTTCACATATATGTTTTATTAGCTAAAGGATGTGTTTTGTTATTATTATTCTTGGTCATTAATTTCACAGAAACATATATTAAGGTATTCATTAAATCTCAAAGGTTTAAGGAATTTTGGTTCCTTTTATGGTCCAGCACAAATTATGAAGAAAGGTGACATGATGTGAATTTTACTTTAGGAAGAAAATACCAACAGCAGAAAGATGGACTGGAGGCATGAGAAAGCAGAGAAAAAGAATCAGCTGGAAGCTTTTAAATTTAGTTAACTTAAATTTTTTTTGGACACAGAAAGACTTTCTGAAGTAGGAGATGATTAGAGTCTTAACTAATGTAATAATAATGGGAATGGATGAAAGTAAAACAATATGTGACAGGCATTGTGGAGGTAGAATAGACAGGATGTGAGAAATAAAAAGCTGTAAGTTATAATGGAGATGAAGTAGTCAATATGTTTCCATTGGGATTTCAAAGAGTGGAGGGAGAGACTTATTAACAGAGACTGCAAGTAGAGAATAATCATTATATTAGCAAGTAAGAGCGAAATCTATGAAGACACTAATTAATTTAGTTTGAAGACATGTCTTTGAGATACGGAAGTGTTTTTGCTATGAAGACCATTAGATATTTATGCATTAGTTCAAAAAATATGTATTGAACACCTAACTATGGCCTAACTACTGTACTAGACAACTTTCCTGCTTTTGTGGACCCTATATTGTAAAAGTTGGCTGCAATTAAATGAATGTATACTCTATATGAGGTGGTACAAAAATATACAAAGAAAAATAAAATGGGGAGGGTATTTGGCGCTATTTTACAATCTTGGTTACAAAAAACCTCTCTGAGCAGATATCTGAAGAAACTGAGGGAGAAAACCATAAGGATATGTGGGCAGGTAAAAGAAAGCAATGAAGGCCCTGCACGGAAGGGACATATTTGAGAGACTGCAAGGGGTCAAGTGTGGCTGCAGAGAAGGAATCTAGGGAAGATAAGGTCAGAGAGATAGAATGCCTTGAAAATTCTAGACTGGTGGCCCAGAAAACGATCTTGAGATTATGGCAAAGATTGTAGTTGTTTTCCAGAAACAATTCTTCCCCTTTTTGGTAGTAGTAGATATTTTAGCTGAGCCTGTAGTGTCTGAGAGTGAAGATTACCTTGAAGCCATGTGGCCATGTGAGTAGGAGTATGGGGCTGAAAGCTCACTTAAGTTATTGATGGTCTGTTTCATTTACCCTTCTATTCCTTGCTCTTTCCTCACACACATACACACACACAATGTAGGATCTCTGAGTCCAGATATTGGAAGACTTTTTTTGAGCACAGCCACCTTACTAGTTTATATATGTATAAGAAAGAAACATATTTTATTTAAAGTCCAAAATATTTTGCTTTTTATATTACCCTTTCTACTACTCACAGTTTAATGCTAATTAATGCAGGAAGTATGGTTGTAAGGCTTGTAGGGGCTAAGGCTATCTGAGTTTATGTGATTGCTCACAGAGAGCATATAGATTGAGATGGCATCTAGAGTGGAAACTTTACAAGTATGCAGAGCCGTGAATACATTTTCCTCATCTTCCTCCTTTTTTTGTTTTTTCTAAGTAGGTAAAATCTGATTCTCTAAGACCTAGCTCAAATATAACTGTCTTTGTGAAACTACTAGTAATAAAAGCTCATCCTGTTTCTCTTCAAAAAGCAGAATTACTTGCTTTGCCATGTTCTCCCTCTGCTCTACCTCTTACTATTTTGTCTCATGTTGTATTTATGTACATGTACCACTCCTTGAATACAGGGTGAACTCCTGAAAAAGCCTGTTACCCTTAACATTTTAAACAAACAATCCAAGCTCAGTTTCAGACCCTCATTGTATCCATCCTGGATTGCTGGCTTAGGCTCCCAAGGGATCTTCATTTGCCTCATTTTCTTTTTCTTTTTTGTCCACAAGAAACTCTCTTACAAATTTTCATTCGTGAGTCATTTCCTCAAAAAACAAAAAACAAAAACAAAACAAACAAAGAAACAAAAAAACAGGGTAGATAAAATACTGTCATCTGGACCCCATATTTCTAGCGTAATGCTTTTGAGTTACAAGTCTATAAAATCATTGAAGAAAAGACCTATAGTTTACGTCTAGCAGATTAATTCATAATAAATTTTTGTTAAATTGAATTGGAAGTAGAAGTAATCTAGATTGATTGAAGCATAGGATGGAGATATTTTGTGTGTGTGTGTGTGTGTGTGTGTGTGTGTGTGAGACAAAAATACAGGGAAAAGAAGACATAAAATATGAAGATGCCAACAACAGCTAAGGAAAAAACTGTTGAAACAGCTGATTCAGTAACTAAACTGGCTTGTCAAGGAATAACTGAAACACAAGGAGAAGGCAGCTGTTTCTACTGTAGTGTCCTCTGTTTTCTCCCCTTTTCCTTCTGTCTGTCTCTAATGAAGTAAAGCTACATAAATATGGCACATAGCAGTGTATGTCAAATAGTGCTCAATAAAATATCTCCAGTTAGAGCTTTTGGTGAACAAGTCTTGAAAGATATTTGCATCATTTTCTTTGATTAAAGAGTCAGTGATTTTATTGAACACATTAATTTAGATATGTGTACCTATTCTTTGATCAAGATCTTATTACTATATTTATTTCTGTATCAGGAGTACTTTTTCAGTTCAGAAACAACCCTTTTTCATTTTCAATTTAGGGAACATTACTTTTAGTTTGAGGTTTATATGACTTTGGATGAAGACAGTGCTGTCACAAATGAGACTCTAACTGTAGCCCATGGATTTGGATCTTTAGTCTATTGTATTGATTATACTTTCCAGTCTCCTTGATGTCTCAGCACATTTTGGTAAAGTATTGACATAATTTAACTCCATGGATTCCAGGATACACATGACCTTTTCAGAAAGTATACATTATTGTAAGAATTTACAAGAACTGAATAATTCTGCAGAAATTATGAATGTTATAGTCAATGGCAAAACAGCTATTAGTATTAAGTCTTTAAATAATTATACTTTGATTTATTGTTTGATTATATGTTCAACTTTGTTTTAAATAGCATAGTGCAGTAGCTCCTTGTCTTCAGTTCAAAATGCAAAGTTACTCTAATTTTTTTGAGGTACAAAAACTCTTCTATAAATATATAAAATTAGGCCTAGAAAAGACTAATTTTCATGATGGGAAATACACACTAGATTTTTAAATTTTAGTACTTTACATAAAAATATTGGTGTGGTACTATTTAATTACATCATAATTTAGTAGTTAAAAGAATTCTTCTCAATATCTGGTTATTGCTCGATTTATTAGCACATGAGCGTTTCTGAGATTGGCATTCAGAGAGATTTCCCATAATAAATGTTACTAGTTATCCAACAAGAAAAGAACATTAATGATTTCACCTAACATGCTCTCAACTGTATGATATTATATGAAGAGTTAATTCTCATATTTAGTCTAGAAAGATTTTTAACATGAGTTACTGAGTTAATATCTTTAAAATTTTATTAAGTCTTTCTCTTTCTGATACAGAAGATCCATAATTCAGGTTATTAATCTCTGGTTACCTGTCCTTTGTGGAAAGATTAATTATTTTCTATTATTCATTGCATTTCCACCAAATTTTGGAGATATTTATCATAAAGTTGTGGATCTGAGCTAAGTTTAAAGACATCAAATAGTAAGTTTTAATTTTTCCAGCTATTACTATTAATTCTAAGTTTTTTTTCTCTGATATGTCTTCTTTGATGTTTCTTAAAAATCAAGATTTATAAAGAGATAGAGAAGGCCATTAGTATATCTCTCAATGTCACAAAATTAACCTAGCCACTGTAAAGTTAACCTGTATCCACAATATAAGTGACAAATGGCAGATAATATCTTTAGGAAAAGTATTAAATAGTGCACACTACTTCCATCAAAGTATAGTGTTCGAGGCAAGTTTAGGTAATGGTGCATTTCTAATAAACAGTCTTTAAAAGATATTAGCATTTCTGTTATTTATGAGAGGCTTTCAGTGTATTTTTCACATATGTATTATTAGGGCAGTGTAGAAATATTATTGTGATGTATTAATGGGCTGACCTGAGGTAAACAATAACTACATCCATGCGTGCATCATACATGCATACAAACTTACTCATTTTCTTTTTAAGCAGACTAGTAGTTAAGTTCCAAGAGAGAAAGGATTCTATATCATGAAATGCCCTGTACGTTTTTGATTCTCTATCTGGAATGCCAACTTGAAATATTACTTTCAATAACACATTACATTTTGTATTTTTTAGAGCATAATGTGCAAAGTAGATGATATTATATTTTAAATTAAACAAAATTAGAGAGGATCTAGAGAAACCAATGAAGTAATTAGTGTGTTTTGTTTCAGTGGTACAGAATCAGACTCTTTATAGCTGAACTCATAATGTGTACATTTATTAAACAAATTGCCAATTTAGTAATTTATAAAGGAATATTAATTTGATAAAATATTTTTTAAAACAATTAAATTATTTTTTCCTTATTTAATTCATCTGGAAAACATTTAGGGAGTCAATACTAATTGTCAGTCACTTTGCATAGGGCCACTTTGTGACAGGGATGAAGTGGCGTGGTCAGAGGGAGATCTGCATGAACCTAAGCCTACAACCAATAAAGGGAGTTAATGTTTTGAATAGGTAGGTCCATGTTTTGGACATGAATGCATTATCCAGTGTGGAGCGCAGTGCCTAGCCCATGAGAAGTTCCCTATGGCTTTGTCTCTGGTATCAAAGATTTATGTAAAATTAGAGTACAATAAATCTTTATGTATGCATCACCTATCTCAACAGTTAACAATTCATAGCCAATAATATTTCTTCTGAACTCTCACCTTCTTTGGGGGGTAGGGGTGAGATGGAGTTTTGCTCTTGTTGCCCAGGCTGGAATGCAATGGCACGATCTTGGCTCACTGCAACCTCCGCCTCCCAGGTTCAAGTGAGTCTCCTGACTCAGCTTCCTGAGTAGCTGGGATTACAGGCGCACCACCTCCACGCCCAGCTAATTTTTTGTATTTTTAGTAGAAATTGGGTTTCACTATGTTAGCCAGGCTGGTCTCGAACTCCTGACTTCAGGTGGTCCATCCGCCTCGGCCTCCCAAAGTGCTGGGATTACAGGCGTGAGCCACTGTGCCTGGACCTCTCACCTATTCTTCCTGCTAGGACTTTGTCATATTTTTTGAGTGGGCTTTGGAAACAAATCCTGGCATTGTACCATTTATCTGTAAATATTTTACTGTGAATCTCTAAACAAAAATCACAATACTATTATCACACAAAAATAGTCATAATTTTTAATATCATCAAATATTCCATCAGGATTCATATTTCTCAAATATTCTTTTAAGAGTAAGTTTGACTCAGAGTCCATTTAAATTAGTTTATATGTCTCTTAATTCTCTTTCAGTAGATTGTCCTGTGTCTCCTGATTCTTGACCTTTTGAGTAAACAGAGCTAGCATGCTACAGCATAAGTTCATACTGATCCATTCAATTCAAATTTAGAATTACAGGACTTACACATAATCTTATTGAACTTGCATTTGCATGTCCTTTCTCTCATGCTGGTAATCCTGGTTGTTAGTAACACTATACCATTTGCTTTATCCCACACTTTGTAATAATGCAGTTTCACTATACATCATCAACACCACAATAAGCAATATATATTTCTTCCTGGCAATGGGTTTGCACACAATGAACAGTATAATTACCAAATATAGTTTGTAAATTTTGTTTGCTGTTGTACTTTTTTTGAAATTGAAAATCACATATTAATTCAACAGGATAATTAGCAGCAATCAAAAATTTTTAAAAAGTCAAAATATTAAGAGCTGAGCACAGTGGCTCTTGCCTATAATCCTAGCATTTTGGGAGGCTGAGGTGGGTGGATTGCTTGAATTCAGGAGTTTGAGACCATCCTGGGCAACATGGTGAAACACCATCTCTCCAAAAAAAAAAAAAAAAAAAAGAGAAAAAAATGCAAAGTTCGCTTGTTATGGTGGATTGAACCTGTAGTCGAAGCTACTTGGGGGGCTGAGGTGGGAGGATCACCTGAGCCCAGGAGGTGGAGGTTGCAGTGAGCCAAGATTGCACCGCTGCACTCCAGCATAGGTGACAGAGTGAGATCCTGTCTCCAAAAAAAAAAAAAAAAAAAAAGTTAAAATATTAAATATACATATTAATTGAATTCATGGTTGTAAGGATGAGATCCATGGAAGTTTCCTGGGAGGAAGGGCTTTCTTGATTTCTTTCTTTTTTTTTTTTTTAACACACAGATGTTCTGACCATGGAACTGGAGCATAGGCAATTCTTGAGATAGTTCTTTATCTTTATCTCTAGGTCTTTTCTGGACTCTCTGGAATTCTCTTTTTATGTTTGCCCTCTTTGCTCTTTACCAGTAGGCATGCCTAGTCATAGTTTCTATCCTTTTGTAATCTTGTCTCATACAAAGAACATCATGTCCACTCTCTACACATTACTATATCATGGATTTTCTTCTTCACCTTCCACTATTCAAGACTTTCCTCTCTCAATACTACCTGATTCTCATCTTCTGGTTCTTGGCTTTTTCATGTGATGAATATCCCTTTGATCACATGCCAACCAGCCATCCCATCTGTTTTTTGGTGGAATATCACCTGGAATTATTCCTTACATAGTTTTTCTGATTATTTTATGAGTAGCTCTGTGTATGTCAGTCATTCTCAAGAAATATCTGGCAAGTTTATTATACTTTCAGGAAATGTTTTGAATAATAAATGTGTCTTACTTTTTGAGTGGGCTTGGATAGCATTTATTCTTAGTCTCTGTTATTACATAAAATATATGGGAATAAATGTATACAATTTTCCTATGTGGATATTTGGTAAAAATATAATGATAGTATTTTTCCATGGGTGGATGAATTTTAAAGAAATAATTTCTTAGCTTGCATGAAGTATTTTTTTTTTATTTCTGCATTTCCCTTCTATTTTCTCCCTAGGATGTCAGAAGAGATAACTAAAACTTTTATGATAACCATGTGGTCAGATCCATAACTTACACTGAAGTCTGTTCTTGTTCAACAGAAGCTAATATTAAATTCAATGTTCTCAAATATTTACTCACAGTAATATGCTCCATTTGGTCTATTCTGTGATTTTTTGGCTCCCACTTAATAATAGTTATATGCCCTTTAGCAAATATAACAGCAGGAAGACCATAATGTTCAAAACAACAGACTTGTTAAATGTGTAGCATATTTTTTCTTTCTTATTTGCCTTTACCAGCTGAATATTGTTTCTGTAATTCTTGGCAGAATTATGCATTTTTCTACTACTTAAAAGCATACATTTTAGTTGTTTCTCTTCTTCTAAAAACATATAAGAGATATGTTTTATGATAAATATTTTATCATGTTTTTCTATACTTTTATATTTCTTTGAGGGAGCTTATTTTAGCTCCTCTGTTGTCTCCTGGATTCATAATTGCCATACAATTTTATGGATCAAACATTTATAATTAACACATTTTAGTTTGGTAGCAATTTCATTTACTTTAATCAGTCTTTTATACTGGAAAAAATAACTATAAAGTTCACAAAATATTTCTCTGCATTACTATAAAGTTTACAAAAATTTCCCTGTAAATCAGTTTCTATATTTTCAGAACTAACAATGATTTTATTCTATATAAGTTGCCAACATAATACAAATATGGAATTGCCTAATTCTTGAAATGAAAAGGAAGCATGAACAGTTACTATTGATGAGGAGACATCTCAATCCTGCTATGGTAGGAAAACACAGAATCCTTCTGTGGTAGATTTCTTTAGTTATTCCCAACAGTCCTTATCTTTTCTTGTAAGGGTTTTCACACTCATCATGAAGTGACTTCCATGTGTTCTGTAGGCAGAGCTTTTATCCCTGTTCTTTTGATTTTTGGCTTTGGCTCTGTAACCCAGTTTGGACAATGGAATGTGAATGGATATGATTTATGTTACAGCTCAGCAGAGGAGTTAATGGGCATTGCTAGGTTGTTTCAGTACTTTTGTTCTTTCCCTCTGCTTTGACCATGGACTACCCAAAGGGGATTGCTCCTTCAGCCTCGGCGATGAAACAAGGCAACATGTAGAACAGAGATCCAGCAGATGACTTCCGTTTCTAACACATAATATCAGATAAATATTTGTTTTTGTAAGCTATTGAGATGTTGGGGTGGTTTTTCACTTCAGGAAAGCTAAGTAATATAATTCTCATTTTTGCAATTTGCAGGAATTTTTGAGCAATTCTTGTTATCTTTGTCTCCAGAATTATAGTTCCAGATTTTAAGATTTTTCAAGCTCTTTACATCTCACTTTACTATATGTTTTCCACAAAGTAGTCGTTTTCATAAATGTTTTGAGAGTTAATGATTTAATGAATAAATAGAAGATTGACTATCAATTAGACAAACCCTTCAAATACATTAACAAGGTCCCAGGTCCAAATTAATCTGTAGCTTTTTTTTTTTTTTTTTTTTTTTTTTTTGACAGTCTCTCACTCTGTCACCAGGCTGGAGTGCAGTGGCACGATCTTGGCTCACTGCAACCTCTGCCTCCTGTGTTCAAGTGATTCTCCTGCCTCAGCCTCCCAAGTAGCTGGGACTTTGGGAGCACGCCCACCACGCCTAGCTAATTTTTTTTTTTTTGTATTTTTTTTTAGGAGAGACGGGGTTTCACCATGTTGGCCAGGATGGTCTTGACCTCTTGACCTCATGATCCTCCCACCCCAGCCTCTCAAAGTGCTGGGATTATAGGCATGAGCCACTGTGCCCAGCCAGTCAGTAGCTTTTGAATTTTTGATTACTGAACCCTTACTTCTAAACTATATGATACTTATTGTGGTTTCTTAAAATTGATACTAGTCTATTTAACCATGTAGACCTTGTGCTCAATCAATACCTGCTAACAAGTCTATTTAATTTGGGGATATAAGACTTTAAATATCCAAGTTAGTTCTGCTGCAGAGTTAAGTCTACACTTATAAAGAAAGACTGGGAAAAAATTGTCTCAGTTATTGAATGTTTTATTAAATAACATTTGATAGACACATAATACACAAATTGACAATATTCAAGGAACTATCATGAAATAAAACTCATGCTTTACTGGATTAATATTTTAAGTAAACCAGAAAATATAATTGAGAAATACAGGAACCAAATCTCAAATCATACAAAACCCAAATGTGTTATTTCTTTTAAAAAAATGTTTTGCCGGGCATGGTGGCTCACACCTGTAATCCCAGCACTTTGGGAGATTGAGGTGGGTGGATCATGAGGTCAGGAGTTCAAGACCATCCTGGCCAGTATGGTGAAACCCTGTCTCTACTAAAAATATGAAAATTAGCCAGGCGTGGTAGCACAACATCTATAGTCCCAGATACTCAGGAGGCTGAGGCAGGAGAATTGCTTTAACCTGGGAGGCCGAGGTTGCAGTGAGCCGAGATCATGCCATTGCACTCCAGCCTGGGCGACAGAATGAGACTCTGTCTCAAAAAAAAAAAAATTGTTTTATTTTGAATTTGTATGGGTACATAGTGTTTATATTTATGCGGCACATGAGATATTTTGACAGAGACATAGAATGTGTAATAATCACATAAGGTTAAATGGGATGCCCATCACCTTAATTATCATTTCTTTGTGTTACAAGCATTCAAATTATACTCTTTTAGTTATTTTTATTTTTTACTCTGTCGCCCAGGTTGGAGTGCTATAGTGTGATCTTGGCTCACTGCAACCTCCGCCTCCTGGGTTCAAGTGATTCTCCTGCCTCAGTCTCCTGAGTAGCTGGGATTACAGGTGCACACCACCACACCCAGCTAATTTTTGTATTTTTAGTGGAGAAGGGGGTTTCATCATATTGGCCAGGCTTATCTCGAACTCCTGACCTCAGGTGATCCACCTGCCTTGGCCTCCCAAAGTGCTGGGATTACAGGCATGAGCCACCACAACTGCCATATTTTAGTTATTTTTTAATGTGCAATAAATTATTATTGACTGTAATCACTCTGTTGTGCTATCTAATACTACATCATATTCATTCTAACTGTATTTTTGTACATCCCCACTTACCGTGCCCCCAACCCCAAGCCCCCACCACCACTCCCAACACTACCTTTCTCAGCCTCTGCTAACCATCTTTCTACTCTGTCCCCATGAGCTCAGTTGTTTTAATTATTAGCTCCCATAAATGAATGCAAATATTTGAAGTTTTCTTTTTTTCTATTTTTCATGTACCTGGCTTACTTCACTTAACATAATGTCCTTCAGTTCCATTTATGTTGTTGCAAATGACAGGTTCTCTTATTTTTTAATTGCTGAATAGTATCCCATTGTGTATATGTGGCAAATTTTCTTTATTCATTCATCCGTTCATGGACACTTAGATTGCTTCCAAATCTTAACTACTGTGGATAGTGCTTCAATAAACTTCAGAGTGCTGATATTTTTTGATATACTGATTTCTGTTCTTGTCCTTGTGTAACAGAGTTAATAATTTTCATTCTTGACAATCTCTAGTAGCAAGTAATTTGGAGTCTCATAAATCAAAATACAATCACACATTATGCAATATCTTTTGTACCTAAAGAAGAAACCTATTCTACCTGTGACCATCACCGTAGGACCTAGGTGATGAGCTTTCTACCCTAGGACCTAGGGCTGAGCTTTCTGATCCCAAGACTTTATAAAAAGAAGAATGACACAGGGGGCATAATAAGATCAGAACAGACTTTACACATATTCAGAATTCTAGAATGTAAGGGCTAAATTTTACTTTTACCTCAAAGATGTACTGACTTATTTGTATCTACAAAGTTTCCTACTATAAATAAAAATGTTTTGTAAAAATAGATAAATTCATTTAAAATTACCTTTGACACACTTCTAAAAGGATCTGTGTATTTGTATGGCTTTTGATCAATTGAGTCATTGATTAAAAGTGTAATCATGCCTCTTTATATGCAAAGACTTTGGTGTTTATACAAAACAAGCTTGAACTTCTTTTCTTGTCACACTGCTCCTACTTGGAAGGAGGATAACCAGCTTGTACTAGAGGTTTATTCTTCTAATCTTCTAAAATGCACAGTATATACAAGTTTAACCATACATAGGATAATCTCATTCCACTGTATGTCAACAGAACAACCTGATTTGACTCCCTTTTCCAGTTACCCATATCCTGTGAAACAAAATTAGAGGTAGCTCCAAGATCTAGGTACATTGTGATTTAGTTTGTTTTACCTTTCTTAATAATACATTTTATATATATTGATTTTCTTCATATACCCTATTACCTATTTTCTTATTTTCTCAATTCTATTGTTCTTTCTTTTTTTGAAAAAAAAGCCCTCATTTTTAGCTCATTAATATTTGAATTCTCTAAATAGATATGCTATGGTATAAACAGAATAAAGTAATCACATAAAAACTTACAGAAGTTACCTCTGATATGGCTAATAACATTTGAAAACTACTTAAATTCATCTAATTGGTGATTCATCATAAACTGATGGAATATAATAATACAAGATGAAGACGGTAGTTTATTATGTCTTCTGTGTAGCGGGTGCACATGAATAATAATATCTAAATTTGGACCATTAAACTCTGAGTAAGAGACAAACCACCACAATCATGACTGTGAAGTGCAACGCTAAAGTCATCTGTCAGTATGCAGTCATGGAGTGCTGAATCTGCTTTCAGAAAATCTTTCTGTTATTAGAGTTCTAGTATCTTAATGAAGCAGCCTACATCAGGATGTGGATCCTCAGGTAAAATAAGAATAATTATATTCAAGCTTGAAAAAAACAATTGGGAAATGTATTGGTTTGTGTTTTTGACCTGCAGGCAGAAACACTGAAATCATTTCTACTTCCACTTTAAGACTTCTACTATTTGCTATTTGGAACTTTATATTAATTCATGTTTAAACATACTTTTTTTTTTTTGCAAATAGGAAACTATATATTATAGGCCACATTTCTCCCGGTGCCAACAATATTTAGCTCAGTTACAGATGATACAGGATATGCAATTATAGGCACATCTCATGTTATTGTGCTTTTCTTTGTTGCACTTTGCAGATATTGCACGTTTTTACATATTGAAGGTTTGTATCAACCCCGCCTCGAGCAAGTCTGTTAGCACCATTTTCCAACAGCATGTGATCACTTCATGTCTCTGTGTCACATTTTGGTAATTCTCCCAATATTTAAAACTCTTTCATTATTATTATATCTCTTATGGTGATTTGTGATCAGCAATCTTTGATGCTACTGTTTTAATTGTTTTGGGACACTGTCAAATATGTCTATAGAAGACAGCAAACTGAATACATAAATGTTCTGTGGGTTTTGACTGCTCCACGGACTTGCCTTTCCTTTAAATCTCTTTATATCCCTGAGTTTCATTATTTCCTGAGACACAACAATGTTGACATTATGTCAGTTAATGACCCTACAATGGCCTCTAAATTTTCTGACAAGGGAAACAGTCACAGGTCTCTCACTTTCAATAAAAAACTAGTAATTATTAAGCTTAGTGAAGAAGGCACGTCAAAAGCTGAGTAGGCCAAAGGTGAGGTTTCTTGCACCAGCAATTAGCCACGTTGTGAATCAAAGGAAACGTTCTTAGAGGAAATTAAAAATGCTACTCCAGAGCACATATGAATGATAAGAAAGTGAAACAGCCTTATTGCTGATATGGAAAAAGTTTTAGTGGTCTGGATAAAAAATCAAATTAGCCACAACATTCTGTTAAGTGAAAGCCTAATTCAGAGCAAGGTTCTAACTGTCTTCAATTTTATGAAGGCTGAGAGAGGTGAAGAAGTCACAGAGAAAAGTTTGAAGCTAGCAGAGGTTGGTTCATGAGGTTTATGAAAAGACACCATCTTCATAACATAAAGGAGCAAGGTAAAGCAGTGATGAGGATGTAGAAGCTGCAGCAAGTTATCTAGTAGATGTAGCTAAGATTATTTTGATGAAGGTGGCCGCATTTCAAATAGCATATTTACAATGTAGACATTCAGGTTTGTATTGGAAGAAGATGCCATCTAGGACTTTCATAGCTAGAGAGGAGAAATCAATGCCTGGCTCCAAGGCTTTTAAGGACGGAATGACTCCTGTTAGAGGCTAACGCAGCTGGTAACTATACATTGAAGCAAATGTCCATTTACCATTCTGAAAATCATAGGGCCATTAAGAATTATGCTATATCTATTCTCCCTGTGGCCTATAAATGAAATGTCAAAGACTGGATGACAGCACTGCTGTTTACAACAAAGATACTGAATGTTTTAAGCCCATTGTTGAGACCTAGTGCACAGCAAACAAGATTCCTTTCAAATTATTACTACTCATTGACAATGTACCTAGTCACCTAAGAGCTATGATGGAAATGAACAAGAAGATTAATGTTTTTATGCCTGCTAACACAACATTCATTCTGCAACTCATGGATCAAGGAATAATTTTGACTTTCAAGTTTTGTTATTTTAGAAATACATTTAGGCCGGGCGTGATGGCTCACGCCTGTAATCCCAGAACTTTGGGAGGCCGAGGTGGGTGAATCTCTTGAGGTCAGGAGTTTGAGACCAGCCTGGCCAACATGGTGAAATCCCATCTCTACTAAAAATACAAAAATTAGCCAGGCATGGTGGTGCACACCTGTAGTACCAGCTACTTAGGAGGCTGATGCTGGAGAATTGCTTGAACCCAGTAGGCTGAGGTTGCAGTGAGCTGAGATCATCTCATCACTGCATTCCAGCCTGGGAGAGAGAGTCTTGCTCTGTCAAAAAAAAAATTGTCATTTTGTAAGGCTATAGCTGCCATCAATAGTGATTGCTCTGTTAGACATGGTAAAAGTAAATTGAAAACCTTCTGGAAAGGACTAATTATTCTAGATGTCACTAAGAACAGTCATGATTCATGGGCAGAGGTATAAATATCAACATTAACAGGAGTTTGGAAGATGTTGATTCCAGCCTCCATGGATGATTTTGAGGGATTCAAAAGTTCAGGGGAGGAAGTAATTGCAAATAGATTTGAAGTAGCAAGAGAACTAGAAGTGGATCCTGAAGATATGACTGAATTGTTACCATCTTGTGATGGCACGAAACATTGTTAAAATGACCAGAAGTAAATTAGAACATTACATAAACTTAGTTGATAAAGCAGCAGCAAAATTTGAGAGGATCGGTTCCACTTTTGAAAGAAGCTCTACTGTGGGTAAAATGTTATCAAACAGCATTACACACTACAGAGAAATTTTTCATGAAAGGAAGTGTCAACTGATGTGGGATACTTCACTGTTGTCTTTTTTTTTTTTTTTTAAGACAACTAAAGCCACTTAAACTCCCTTTAAGCACAACTTTTAGCATTTCAACTACAATGCTTTTCATGGGGAAAGTTCCACATCACCCTCTGGTTACATTTTTCTCACTTCAATGATAGAAACAACTTTAGTAAAAGAATCCCTTTTACTTTAGGCTTAACACCTTTACATTTGTGTTTAAAAGTGAAACAAATAGCTGATAAAAGAAAGACTTATTTCAACAAATAACAAATACAGTAGCCTAAATGACTTAATACTGGTACAAAACCAAAGGGATTACTCAAAAGTCTAGAAAGAGACCTATGTACTAATATAGAATTTTAGTATTTGATAAAATATTGCATTATACCTCATTGGGGAAAATTAGTCTATTCAAAGTTAGATCCCTACTTTACAGGTAAAATCAGAATAAATTCCAAACAAATTATAAATTACAATTATATATATTAAAAAGATGGATTAATGTTTTTATAATCTGAAGGAGAGAAAGAACTTTCTAGATAAACTTAACTATGTGGAAAACATAAAACTTTAGATCAGCAGAAAAGTCCAAACCAAACTTAAGGGAAGAGAAAAATAAAACACAAAAATTCCGATAAATAAGTATAAGATAAACATTATGACAATAGGTCAAAGACCCAACAGGAAATACAGTCGTGTGTCCCTTAATGACAGAGATACGTTCTAAGAAATGTATTGTTAGGTGATTGCATCATTGTACAAGCAACCTAAGAGTGTACACAAGCCTAGATGGAATAGCCTACTAGACACCTAGGCTATATGGCATAGCCTATTGCTCTTAGGCTATGAACCTTTGAGCATGTGATAGTGTAGACAACTGTAACACAATGGGAAGTATTCGTGTATCTAAACATATCTAAACACAGGAAAGGTACAGTAAAAAATATGGTTTTATAATCTAATAGGACCACTGTCACATATGTGGTCTATCATTGAATTAAAGGTTGTTATGTGGCACATGATTGTACATAAACCAGGAAATTTCAAAGGTCAATAAAAATATGAAATGACAAGCATCACCACTATCAGAATTATGCAAATTAAGCAACCAGAGTTATGCAAATTAAAGAAAAAAATTATTCAAATTAAACTAAGAGATGAAGTTTTTCCATTAATGGGCAAACATAAAAATAATAATTGTATTTGATGTTGTGAAGAAAAAGGCACTATCAAATATTTTTACAAAGTAAACGTTTAGGGTAGTTTTTTATTACTATACTTTAAGTTCTAGGGTACATGTGCACAATGTGCAGGTTTGTTACATATGTATACATGTGCCATGTTGGTGTGCTGCACCCATTAACTCATCATTTACATTAGGTATATCTCCTAATACTATCCCTCCCCCCACCCAGGACAGGCCCCAGTGTGTGATGTTCCCCTTCCTGTGTCCAACTGTCCTCATTGTTCAATTCCCACCTATGAGTGAGAACATGTGGTGTTTCGTTTTTTGTCCTTGCGATAGTTTGCTGAGAATGACGGTTTCCAGCTTCATCCATGTCCCTACAAAGGACATGAACTCATCATTTTTTATGGCTGCATAGTATTCCATGGTATATATGTGTCACATTTTCTTAATCCAGTCTATCATTGTTGGACATTTGGGTTGGTTCCAAGTCTTTGCTATTGTGAATAGTGCCGCAATAAACATACATGTGCATGTGTCTTTATAGCAGGATGACTTATAATCCTTTGGGTATATACCCAGTAATGAGACAGCTGGGTCAAATGGTATTTCTAGTTCTAGATCCTTGAGGAATCGCCACACTGTCTTCCACAATGGTTGAACTAGTTTACAGTCCCACCAACAGTGTAAAAGTGTTCCTATTTCTCTACATCCTCTCCAGCACCTGTTGTTTCCTGACTTTTTAATGATCACCATTCTAACTGGTGTGAGATGGTATCTCATTGTGGTTTTGATTTGCATTTCTCTGATGGCCAGTGATGTGAGCATGTTTTCATGTATTTGTTGGCTGCATAAGTGTGTTCTTTTGAGAAGTGTCTGTTCATATCCTTTGCCCACGTTTTGATGGGGTTGTTTGTTTTTTTCTTGTAAATTTGTTTGAGTTCTTTGGAGATTCTGGATATTAGCCCTTTGTTAGATGAGTAGATTGCAAGAATGTTCTCCCACTCTGTAGGTTGCCTGTTCACTCTGATGGTAGTTTCTTTTGCTGTGCAGAAGCTCTTTAGTTTAATTAGATCCCATCTGCCTATTTTGGCTTTTGTTGCCATTGCTTTTGGTGTTTTAGACATGAAGTCCTTGCCCATGCCTATGTCCTGAATGGTATTGCCTAGGTTTTCTTCTAGGGTTTTTATGGTTTTAGGTCTAACATTTAAGTCTTTAATCCATCTTGAATTAATTTTTGTATAAGGTGTAAGGAAGGGATCCAGTTTCAACTTTCTACATATGGCTAGCCAGTTTTCCAAGCACCATTTATTAAATATAGAATTCTTTCCCCATTTCTTGTTTTTGTCAGATTTGTCAAAGATCAGATGGTTGTAGATGTGTGGTATTATTTCTGAGGGCTCTGTTCTGTTCCATTGGTCTATATCTCTGTTGTGGTACCAGTGCCATGCTGTTTTGGTTACCGTAGCCTTGTAGTATAGTTTGAAGTCAGGTAGCGTGATGCCTCCAACTTTGTTCTTTTGGCTTAGGATTGTCTTGGCCATGCAGGCTCTTTTGTGGTTCCATATGAACTTTAAAGTAGATTTTTCCAATTCTGTGAAGAAAGTCAGTGGTAGCTTGATGTGGATGGCATTGAATCTATAAATTACCTTGGGCAGTGTGGCCATTTTCACGATATTGATTCTTCTTACCCATGAGCATGGAATGTTCTTCCATTTGTTTGTGTCCTCTTTTATTTCATTGAGCAGTGGTTTGTAGTTCTCCTTGAAGAAGTCCTTCACATTCCTTGTAAGTTGGATTCCTAAGTATTTTATTCTCTTTGAAGCAATTGTAAATGGGAGTTCACTCATGATTTGGCTCTCTGTTTGTCTGTTATTGGTGTATAAGAATGCTTGTGACTTTTGCACATTGATTTTGTATCCTGAGGCTTTCCTGAAGTTGCTTATCAGCTGTAGGAGATTTTGGGCTGAGATGATGGGGTTTTCTAAATATACAATCTTGTCATCTGCAAAGAGGGACAATTTGACTTCCTCTTTTCCTAGCTGAATACCCTTTAATTCTTTCTCCTGCCTTATTGCCCTGGCCAGAACTTCCAACCCTATGTTGAATAGGAGTGGTAAGAGAGGGCATCCCTGTTTTGTGCCAGTTTTCAAAGGGAATGCTTCCAGTTTTTGCCCATTCAGTATGATATTGGCTGTGGGTTTGCCATAGATAGCTCTTATTATTTTGAGATATGTCCCATCAATACCTAATTTATTGAGAGTTTTTAGCATGAAGGGCTGTTGAATTTTGTCAAAGGCCTTTTCTGCATCTATTGAGATAATCAAGTGGTTTTTGTCTTTGGTTCTGTTTATATGCTGGATTATGTTTATTGATTTGCATATGTTGAACCAGCCTTGCATCCCAGGGATGAAGCCCACTTGATCATGGTGGATGAGCTTTTTGATGTGCTGCTGGATTCAGTTTGCCACGATTTTATTGAGGATTTTTGCATCGATCTTCATCAGGGATATTGGTCTAAAATTCTCTTTTTTTGTTGTGTCTCTGTCAGGCTTTGGTATCAGGATGATGCTGGCCTCATAAAATGAGTTAGGGAGGATTCCCTCTTTTTCTATTGATTGGAATAGTTTCAGAAGGAATGGTCCCAGCTCCTCCTTGTACCTCTGGTAGAATTCGGCTGTGAATCCGTCTGGTCCTGGACTTTTTTTTGGTTGGTAGGCTCTTAATTATTGCCTCAATTTCAGAGCCTGTTATTGGTCTATTCAGGGATTCAACTTCTTCCTGGTTTACCCTTGGGAGGGTGTATGTGTCCAGGAGTTTATCCATTTCTTCTAGATTTTCTAGTTTATTTGCATAGAGGTGTTTCTAGTACTCTCTGATGGTAGTTTGTATTTCTGTGGGATTGGTGGTGATATCCCCTTTATCATTTTTTATTGCATCTACTTGATTCTTCTCTCTGCTTTATTCATCTTGCTAGTGGTCTATCATTTTTGTTGATCTTTTCAAAAAACCAGGTCCTGGATTCATTGATTTCTTGAAGGGATTTTTGTGTCTCTATCTCCTTCAGTTCTGCTCTGATCTTAGTTATTTCTTGCCTTCTGCTAGATTTTGAATGTGTTTGCTCTTGCTTTCTAGTTCTTTTAATTGTGATGTTAGGGTGTCAATTTTAGATCTTTCCTGCTTTCTCTTGTGGGCATTAAGTGCTATAAATTTCCCTCTACACACTGCTTTAAATGTGTCCCAGAGATTCTGGTATGTTGTGTGTTTGTTCTTGTTGGTTTCAAAGAACATCTTTATTTCTGCCTTCATTTCGTTATGTACCCAGTAGTCATTTAGGAGCAGGTTGTTCAGTTTCCGTGTAGTTGAGCAGTTTTGAGTGAGTTTCTTAATCCTGAGTTCTAGTTTGATTGCACTGTGGTCTGAGAGACAGTTTGTTATAATTTCTGTTCTTTTACATTTGCTGAGGAGTGCTTTACTTCCAACTATGTGGTCAATTTTGGAATAAGTGCGATGTGGTGCTGAGAATAATATATATTCTGTTGATTTGGGGTGGAGAGTTCTGTAGATGTCTATTAGGTCCACTTAGTGCAGAACTGACTTCAATTCCTGAATATCCTTTTTAACTTTCTGTCTCATTGATCTGTCTAATGTTGACAGTGAGGTGTTAAAGTCTCCCATTATTATTGTGTGGGAGTCTAAGTCTCTTTGTAGGTCTCTAAGGACTTGCTTTATGAATATGGGTGCTCCTGTATTGGGTGCATATATATTTAGGATAGTTAGCTCTACTTGTTGAATTGATCCCTTTACCGTTATGTAATGTCCTTCTTTGTCTCTTTTGATCTTTGATGGTTTAAAGTCTGTTTTATCAGAGACTAGGATTGCAACCCTGCCTTTTTTTGTTTTCCGTTTGCTTGGTACATCTTCCTCCTTCCCTTTATTTTGAGCCTTTGTGTGTCTCTGCATGTGAGATGGATCTCCTGAATACAGCACACTGATGGGTCTTGACTCTTTATCTGATTTGCCAGTGTGTGTCTTTTAATTGGAGCATTTAGCCCATTTACATTTAAGGCTAATATTGTTATGTGTGAATTTGATCCTGTCATTATGATATTAGCTGGTTATTTTGCTCCTTAGTTGATGCAGTTTCTTCCCAGCATGAATGTTCTTTACAATTTGTCATGTTTTTGCAGTGGCTGGTACTGGTTGTTCCTTTCCATGTTTAGTGCTTCCTTCAGGAGCTCTTATAGGACAGGCCTAGTGGTGACAAAATCTCTCAGCATTTGCTTGTCTATAAAGGATTTTATTTCTCCTTCACTGATGAAGCTTATTTTGGCTGGTTATGAAATTCTGAGTTGAAAATTCTTTTCTTTAAGAATGTTGAATATTGGCCCCCACTCTCTTCTGGATTATAGAGCTTCTGCCATGAGATCCGCCATTACTCTGATGGGCTTCCCTTTGTGGGTAACCTGACCTTTCTCTATGGCTGCCGTTAACATTTTTTCCTTCATTTCAACTTTGGTGAATCTGACAATTATGTGTCTTGGGGTTGCTCTTCTCGAGGAGTATCTTTGTGGCATTCTCTGGGTTTCCTGAATCTGAATGTTGGCCTGCCTTGCTAGATTGGGGAAGTTCTCCTGGATAATATCCTGCAGAGTGTTTTCCAACTTGGTTCCATTCTCCCCGTCACTTTCAGGTACACCAATCAGACCTAGATTTGGTCTTTTCACATAGTCCCATATTTCTTCGAGGCTTTGTTCATTTATTTTTACTCTTTTTTCTGTAAACTTTTCTCACTTCATTTCATTTATTTGATCTTCAATCACTGATACCCTTTCTTCCCATTGATCAAATCGGCTACTAAAGCTTGTGCATTCATCAGGTAGTTCTCGTGCCATGGTTTTCAGCTCCATCAGGTCATTTAAGGACTTCTCTACACTGATTATTCTAGTTAGCCATTCGTCTAATCTTTTTTCAAGGTTTTTAGCTTCTTTGTGATGGGTTCAAGCTTCCTCCTTTGCTCGGAGAAGTTTGATTGTCTGAAGCCTTCTTCTCTCAACTCGTCAAAGTCATTCTCTGTCCAGCTTTGCTCCATTGCTGGTGAGGATCTGAGTTTCTTTGGAGGGTGACTGGCACTCTGATTTTTAGAACTTTCAGCTTTTCTGCTCTGTTTTATCCCCATCTTCATGGTTTTATCTACCTTTGGTCTTTGATGATGGTGATGTACAGATGGGGTTTTGGTGTAGATGTCCTTTCTGTTTCTTAGTTTTCCTTCTAACAGTCAGGACCTTCAGCTGCAACTGAAGGTTCCAACTCTGTTGGAGTTTGCTGGAGGCCCATTCCAGATCCTGTTTGCCTGGGTGTCAGCAGTGGAGGCTGCCGAACAGTGGATATTGCTGAACAGCAAATGTTGCTGCCTAGTCGTTCCTCTGGAAGCTTTGTCTCAGAGGTGTACCCAGCTGTGTTCGGTGTCAGTCTGCCTCTACTGGGGGGTTCCTCCCAGTTAGGCCATGCTGGGAGAACCACTACTCTCTTCACAGCTGTCAGACAGGGACATTTATGGGATAAGGAAACCTGCAGAGGTTTCTGCTGCCTTTTGTTCGGCTATGGCCTGCCCCCATGGGTAGAGTCTACAGAGGCAGGCAGGCCTCCTTCAGCTGCAGTGAGTTCCACCCAGTTTGAGTTTCCTGGCTGCTTTGTTTACCTACTCAAGCCTCAGCAATGGCGGGCACCTGGCCCTCAGCCTCGCTGCTGTCTTGCAGTTCGATCTCAGACTACTGTGCTAGCAATGAGTGAGGCTCCATGGTCATGGGACCCTCTGAGCCAGGCATGGGATATAATCTCCTGGTGTGCCATTTGCTAAGACCATTGGAAAAGTGCAGTATTAGGGTGAGAGTGACCTGATTTTCCAGGTGCCATCTGCCACAGCTTCCCTTGGCTAGGAAAGGGAATTCCCTGACCCATTGCGCTTCTTGGGTGAGGCGATCCCTCACCCTCCTTTGGCTCACACTTGGTGGACTGCACCCACTGTCCTGCACCCACTGTCTGACAAGCCCCAGTGAGATGAACCTGGTACCTCAGTTAGAAATGCAGAAATCACCCGTCTTCTGCGTCGCTCATGCTGGGAGCTGTAGACTGGAGCTCTTCCTATTTGGCCGTCTTGGAATTGCTCCCTTGTCTTATTTTAAGAATGGCCCACAGCCACCCAAACTAGCAGCAACCACAGCCCTGATTAAGTTAGCATCCATCAATATCGAGGCAGGACTGTCCACCAGAAAAAAGATTCTGACTCCCTGAAGACTCAGATGATCATTATCATTTTTTTTTTTTAGCAATAAAGGATTTTTAAATTAAGATATCTACATTTTTAACATAATGATATTACACATTCAGTATTATCAGTGTAGCATAAACATAACTTTTACATTCACTGGAAAACGAAAAAAATTGTGTGATTCAGTTTATTGCAACATTCACTTCATTGCAGTCATCAGCTACCAAACCTGCAATATTGATGTATGCCTGTATTGTGCATTAAGTTCAAAGGCCAAAAAGATGGTAATTATATGATAAAGGTATTGAGCATTTTAAAGACATTTTCTTAATATGAAGTATCACAATCATTCATTCTTCAAGCTTTCCTAACCATTTTTTCTTCATGTTATCTCACTTTTTTTTTTCAAAAAGGAGATCAGAAGGTGAGAGTTAACAAATTAAAACAATATGATAACAAATATGAGATGCTGCTTGTAACTAGGGAAACAGTACTCCTTTAAAGCCTCAACTTTGGGGCAAATTTTTTGAATTTATGCTTCTTAATAAATTTAACTGGAGTTATTCTAAGATGTAAATACTAGTGAAACTTTAAGAGTTTAGGATAAATAGTTCAATCATATTTTTTAGGACAAACTATAGCCACTTTTGTGCTATAGTTTCAAAGTTGAGTAATTACAACAGAAAACATTTGGCTTGCAAAGCCTGAAATATTTACTATGTTGCTCCGTATAGAATAAATTTGCTAATCCCCATTACACTTTATTTGTTTCTTATTGAGGGTGGGAGGGACAAGATTAAAATATATTAAGTGAAGAAAAAGGAATATAGCCTGAATATTTATTTTTATTACATTACACAGAATTGTTGACATCTTGAGGGACAACCATTAGGTAGCAAGTAGAGTGTTGCATAAAGTGTTTTCACTTTTGTAAACCACAAAAAAGACAAATTTTTTTAATGGATCTCAGCAATAGACTTAATTTTAAAATCCCAACACTGCTGTTGGAAGATTGTGCTGAAGGGCTGTGAGCAAACCTGCAGTTTTTGTTAAAGAATCAACTTTGGCTCCCAGTGGGTAATCTATTCCTGTTCCAGTTGCTGTAGCTAAAGTGAATTTTTTTTGTGAATGTTTCCAACTACTATATAATGGATGTTTGCCCTAAATATTGCTGGTTAATTTAATCTTCTTTTGTGGAGTAGGATTCCAATGAGTCACTGTAAATGAATGATATTCAAGTGGATCTTTACTGGAAGATAGAAAACCTAACACCTAGATCTACAAAATCTTTGTAGTTTGGCTGAGTGAATCCATGGTTGACAAAAATGTATTGCAGATAAATAAGTTTACATTTTAGAAAACTGTTAAAGTAACTGGGAAAACAATTCCAATATTTAAAGAAACACACTGATAAATGAGCGTTTCCGTTATTTTTTATTATTATTTATGAGATTAAAATGCAACATGATATTAGATTTTTCAAAAGCATTTTTGAAATGATTTTAAACAGTCAAAAATCTTTTTTTTTAAAAAAATAAATGCTGTTAGGATAACAAAATGTCATTTAGGATAAGATACAATTAGATATATTACTCACATTATGTGCAAGAATAATATAAAAATGGTTGAGAGAATTAAATGTAAACAATGAAACAAGTTCTGGGTGAATGTAAGGGTATATCTTATATAATATGACTATATAGAAATGCTTTCTGAATTGACTCAATATTCAGATGCAACAAAATTACAGATTGTTAAATTTCACTGACAGACACAAAAACTTTTCATGACAAAGTGCACCGTAGGCAAAGTCAAAGGACAAATAAAAATTTAGAGAAAATATTTACGGAAGATACAAATAGGCAGTAGACTGTTAAATAGCTGAAAAGAGATTCAACTTTAAATGATGAGAAAAACGGAAAAGCAAAACTACACTGAGATACCTATGATATTGACAAAATCTCAAAAATTTGAAAATACACTGTTGGCAAGGCTGTGGGAAACAGTCATTCTCATGCATTGCATCTGGGAATGAAGAGTAGTGAAACCCTATGGAAGAGAACTTGGCAATATATAAGAAAAACTATTTGTGCATTTATCTTTGACTCCAGGAATTGCACTTTCAGGAATTTATCCTGAAGATACAGGCCCAATAGTACAAAAATACAAGGTTATTCATTGAAAAATGATTTATAGTTGTAAAATATTGGAAATTATGAAAATATCCAAACTTAGTTGAATAAACTATGGTAAAAACATACAATGGAGTATTAAGCATCTGTAAAAAGAATGAGGAAGATATTTATGAAAGGTATGGGGTGATTTTTCAAAAGATGATAAGTGAAAAAAACAAAGTGCAAAAAAGAACATGTAGTATGTTTCCTTTTGAGTAATAAAGAGGAGGAAATAACAATATGCATATACCAACTTATCTGAATAAAAAGAAACAGAAAAGCTAAGCTGGTACACATAGATGCAGCATGGAGCAGGAGGAACAGGGGAGCTCCTGATGCTTCTCTGACTATGCTTTTCTGCATTGTTCTGACTTTTAGATGGAGGTTAATGTTTATATATTTAAAAAATTTAAAGAGATAGGAAGTAAACAAAAAACTAAAACTGATAAGCCAGTGAACACAATTGTTTTCAAATGAATAGCATTAGTAAACTGAAAGGGGACATAGAAAAAGGAAAAAAAAAAGCTTAATTTTTGTGACTTTGGATTTTATTGCCTGCCCCCTTTGTTGCCACGGGGTAAGGGAAAAGTGGACAAAAAACTTCTAGGAGTAGTTTTCTTATTTTAGTGGTATTGGTAAAGCAATTCCAAAATTCTACGTGTATTTTTGGAAGAAGGGAGATACAAATGTAGAATTTAGGAAGGCAAGGGAAAACCCCATGAGATAGATTGGAATTAATGTTATCAGTAAGAAGTCATGATTTCGGATACATATGTGTATGTTTGTTTTTACATACATATAAATATACGTGTATATCCATGTGTATTTATACATACACACACACACATACATATATATGTATATGTACACTCACACACACAAATGCATACATATATGCTTCTAGGCCCTCTTAGTAAACAGATATTCAAGCTCTGACACCCAAGAATAATGAGCACTTTTAGTGCCCTGAATCCTGTTTTTTTTTTAAATACCATTCCCCAGTGAATGGACCCAGGGTTCCACCAAGAAATGGCTGATTACAGAACTGGGGCAACAAGAGTCCAAGGTAAGCCTGGAGAAACTTTTGATGTCAGATAATAAATGTTGAAAAAATTATAGGAGTTTATCAAAAGGTCACAGGGGATATCTTGAAGGAGCTCTCACTGTAAAATCTGAGATAATTTAATCTCCAAATAATTAAGGATAGCAAGGAATAATAAATTGTTTAACAACAGAATTCATGAGTCTATATTAGTATTAAAGAGATGGCAAATAGATGGATTATTTAATTGAATAAATACATAACTGTGGAAGAAGAGAGGGCTTTCCCTTATAGTAGAATATCAATTGATAAATGTGTAGATGGTACTAGAGTTGGAAAATCATCACTTTGCAACCACCATAATAAAGGTTAGTCAAGAGTAAGGATCATCAATGGATGATAAGTCTATGGGAAATTATGATGCGGAGCATGGTTTAAAGTGTCCTCCTACAGACTGCCAATAAGTTGGAAAAGAAAAAATAGTAACTCTAGACTGGGGAAGCTGGACGGCACTTTATCCAGGTGATTGTAAATGAAAGCAATGAACTTTGTTTCTGCATGTGACAGCCTACAAAGCACACAGCGTCTCTTATGTATTAGCCTTCCCACATATATACATGTATATATAGCCTGCATTTAATCATGAGCAAACACCAGACAAACTCAAAATGTGAAATATTATATTAAGGAAACAAAAAAGATGCATAAACCCTCATATTCTTCAAAAATGTAAATATCATGATAGAAAAAGAATGGATGAGGAAATGTTCCAGATTTATGGGGACTAAAAAGACATGGCAACCAAATGTAATACATAATCCTCGACAGGATCCTGTATAGGAGGAAAAACAGCAGTCTTATAAAGAACAAAATTAAGATCATTCATAAAATGTGAATATTGTTGATAGATTAAATGAAAATATTGTAGTAATGTTAAATTTTCTGAAGTTGATAATGAAACTGTGATTCTGCAAGAGGATGCCCTTGTTTATAAATATATACCAAAATATTTATTATTTAGGGATAAAAATATATACATAGACATACACACAAACATACCTTTATAAAGAGAGAGACAAATGATGCAAATAGGGCAAATATTAACAATGGGTGAATCTCAGTAAGACTACATGTTTTTCCTTGATTTTGCAACTTTTCTGAAAGCTTGAAGAGATTTTCAGCTATAATGTTTTTAAAAATTAGATTTCTGTCATTTAGTCCCTGAAATCTTAATAAGGAGACAATTTAACTGTAAAATACTTAGGACACTGAGAAAAAAATGATTTGATCATCATTTATGTCTGAACATTTAAGAAGATATATCAAAATCTATGAAATATTATACTTTAGCTTATGAAGGAAGCCATATATATTAAATGCTCCTAAATGTTTAAGTATCTAACTAATTTTGTGAGTAAGATTTCCTTGAGGCTTTGGTCTCCATTTTCTTGTCTACAAGATGGGGCTACTAGGGCCTCTGTACCTTTCTGTGTATTACAAGGCAATGCATGATTTAGTAACTTATAGATTAAGGGGAACAAGGAGTTAACTAAATGATAAAAAAATGATAAGACAGATAAGAGAGATAAGAACATACTGTAAATGTTCAGAGGTGGAAGTGATTGCATCTGGATGGGAAAACAGTTAAAAGTTCTTGAAGGAGCATTTAAATTAAACTTAAAAGACAGGTAATTCTTTAATAACTTTTCTACATTTTGCCTATTGTTTTCTATAGGACTTTAGACTATTATTCATGAAATGTAGAAAAAAAATGTTACTTGCAGTATTGACAGCAATTCTAATAAAGTAACACTTTTTCATTTTATTGTAACAATTAGTTCACCCTATCAAAATAAACAATATGTTTTCTTAACTAGAGAAAAATATCATTATTGATCAATTGATAATGAAATGGCAAAAGCTGGTCTTGAATTCCTGACCTCAAGTGATCCACCTGCCTCAACCTCCCAAAGTGCTGAGATTACAGGCATGAATCACCACACCCAGCTTGATATGTTTCATTTTGAACATTGGTATTTATTAAAGCACCAAGAAAAGCTGCCATAACCTCTGATCAGAGATCCCCTTTGTTAAAAATTTTTCTTGTCTTAATTTTATAAATAAGTCAATAGCTGTATAAATATATACACACCAAAATGGGATAATCAAATTATGGATATATAATAGATGTTTTAATAATTGTACCATTATCTGAGTGAACGTGATTTTCAATTCATTTGGGCAAAGACCAAGGAACACAATTGCTGGAACATAGGGAAACTATATGTTTACTTTGTAAGAAACTGAAAAACTCTTCCAAAGTGGCTATATAATTTTACATTCCCATCACCAATGATTGAGGGTTCCTATTGTTCCAAATTTTTGCCAACATTTAGTGTTGTCAGTGATTTCGATTTTGGCCATTCTTATAGGTGTGTAGTGGTATCTGGTTGTTTTAATGTGCATTTCCTGATGACACATGATGTGGAACATCTTTTCATGTGCTTATTTTCCAAAGACAGTTTTATTTCTTCCTTCCTAACCTACATATCAATCATTGTCTCTGATTACTGTAGCTTTATAATAGGTCTCAAAGTTAGGTAGTGTCCGTCTTCTAACTTTGTTTTTTTTCCCTTCAGTATTGAGTTGGTTATTCTGGGTCTTTTGTTTCTCCATATAAACTTTAGAATCGGTTTGAAAATGCCTGTGTATCTTTTTTGGTGAGGTACGTGTTCAGGTCTTTGGTCCACGTTTTAATTGGATTGTTTTCTTATTGTTAAATTTTAAGTATTATTTATATATTTTGAATAACAATCTTTTATCAGATATGCCTTTTACAAATACTTCCTCACAGTTTGTGGCTTGGCTTCCAATTCTTTTAACATTGTCTTTTGCAGGGCAGAGTTTCTGAATTTTAATGAAGTCTGATGTATGAATTGGTGTTATATCTAAAAATTCAACATTATACCTAAGGTTATCTAGGTTTTGTCCTCAGTCATCTTCTAGGGAACTTATGGTTTTAAAATTTACATTTGGATCTATGATCTATTTTGAGTTAATTTTTGTGAAGAGTGTTAAGATCAGTGCCTAGATTCATTTTTTTTGTTTTGTTTTTTGCATGTGGTTGTCCAGTTTTTCCAGCACCATTTGTTGAAAAGACTATCTTTGTTCCATTGTATTGCCACTGCTCCTTTGTCAAAAATCAGTTGGCTATATGTATGTGGGTCTATTTCTGGGTTCTCTTTTCCATTCCATTACCTATTTGCTTATTCATTTGCCAATATCAATCATTGTCTCTGATTACTGTAGCTTTATAATAGGTCTCAAAGTTAGGTAGTGTCCGTCTTCTAACTTTGTTTTTTTTCCCTTCAATATTGAGTTGGTTATTCTGGGTCTTTTGTTTCTCCATATAAACTTTAGAATCAGTTTGTAAATATCGACAAAACAACTTGCTGAGATTTCGGTGGGGATTGTGTTGAATCTGTAGTTCAGGTTAATAATTGACATCTTGACAATATTGAGCCTTTCTGTTCAGGAACAGAGAATATCTGTTCATTGATTTAGTTTCTCTTTGATCTATTTCTCAAAGTTTATAGTTTGCCTCATGTAAATCTTGTTAGACATATTGTATTAGATTTTTACTTAAGTATTTTATTTTTGGGGTGCTAATACAAATGGTTATGTGGTTTTAATTTCAAATGCCACTTGTTAATTGCTGTGTATAGAAAAGCAGATGATTTTGTATATTATTTCCTGTGCATTGTTATAATCACTAGTTCCAGAAATTTTTTGTAGATTATTTGGGATTTTGTGAATATACAATCATGTATCTTCATATATCTGTGACAAAGACAGTTTTATTTCTTCCTTCCTAACCTACGTATGTTTTATTTCCTTTCCAGTGGTGGAAAGGGACATCCTTGCCTCGTTTCTGATCTTACTGAGAAAATTTTGAGTTTCTAACCATTAAGCCTGATGTTAGCTGTAGGTTTTTTGTAGATTTTTAAAAAACTCAATTTGAGGAAGTTTTCCTATTGCTTTTTTGATAAGAGTTTTTTTTAAATTTTATTTTATCATGGTTGGCCATTGGATATTGTCAAATGCTTTTTCTGCATATATTTATATAATCTATAATGATGTGATTTTTCCTCTTTAGCCTGCTGATGTGATGGATGATAATAATTTATTTTCAAATGTTGAACCTGGGGTAAATCACACTTGATCATGCTGTATTATAATTCTTTTCATATATTGTTGGATTTTATTTGCTAATTATGTTAAAGAGTTTTGTGTATGTGTTAAAGAAAGGTATCACTCTGTGGTTTTAGTTTTTTCAATGCATTTGTCTGATTTTGGTATTAGGGTAAAATGCTGATCTCATGGAATGAATCAAGTACCCTAGAACTTAAAGTATTTTATTTATATATATATATATGAAGTATTCCTTATACTTTTATCTTCTGAATGATAGTGTAGAGAATTTGTATAATTTTCTCCTTAGATGTTTGGTAGAATTCACCAGTGAACCCATCTGGGCACTGTGGTTTCTGTTTTGGAAGGTTATTGGTTACCGATTCAACTTCTTTGATAAATGTAGGCCTAGTCAGATTGTTTATTTTTTCTTGAGTGAGTTTTGGCGGATTATGTTCTCCAAGGAATTAGTTCATTTTATTTAGCTTATCAAATACATGGGCCTAGAGCTGTTCATATTTATTATCCCTTCAGTTTCCATGAGGTCTGTAGTTATATCTCCTATCTCACTTCTGATTTTAGTAATTTGTGCCTTCTGTCTTTTTTTCTTAGTTAGCTTAGCTAGAGGCTTATTGATATTATTGATCTTTTCAAGGATCATCTTTTGGCTTTGTTGATTTTCTCTATTTCCTGTTTTAAGTTATTTTCTACTCTAATTTTCATGTTTTTTTTAATTATGCTTACTTAGGATTTAATTTATTAAGGTGGAAACTTAGATGATTGATTTTAGATTGTTCTTCTTTTCTAATATATGAGTTCTGTGCTATAAATTCTCCTCTAACCACTGCTGCATTGCATTCTAAAAAATTTAATAAATTATATTTCACTCTCATCTAGTTCAAATATTTTTAAATTTCTCCAGAGATTTCACCTATCTGTTATTTTTATTTTTTATTGAGACAGCATCTCACTCTGTCACCCAGGCTAGAATGCAGTGGCACGATCATGGCTCAGTGCAGCCTCTACCTCCTGGGCTCAAGTGATCCTTGAACCTCAGCCATCAGAGCAGCTGGGACTACAGGCGTGTGCCACCACGCCTCACTAATTTTTTATTTTTTTGTACAGATGGTGTGTCCCTATGTTGCCCAGGCTGGTCTTGAATTCCTGGGCTCAAGTGATCTACCCGCCATGTCCTCCCAAAGTGCTGAGATTATAGGCATAAGCCACCATGCTCAGCCTCATCCATTTGTTACCTAGAGATATGTTATTTAATCTCTAGAATTTTGGGATTTGCCAGCAGTCTGTTGCTAACTTCTTGTTTAGTTCCATTGTGTCTGAAAGCAGATATTGTGTAATATATATTCTTTTAAATTTGTTAAGTTGTGTTTGGTGGCCCAGAATTTGGTCTGTTTTAGAAAATGTTCTATGTGAGGCTGAGAAGAATGTGTAATCTGCTATGTTGGCCGTGATCATTTTCATTAAATATTTTTCAATTTAATTTTTCAACCTCTAAGATCATACTGATCTTAGGAACTTGAAAAGTTGAAAAATTATTATATACATTTATGCACATATGTACATATACACATAAACATACATACATACAATACATATATATACACATATATAGACATATAGACATATTATTCATATGTGCCCATCGATACAGCAATTGTACTCTATTTGTAGTATTTGAAATAGATACTGTCACATCATAGTATTGAGTTTATTAAATACCATCTGAGTATGCTAGGAATGAACTAATTTTTCAAAATTGTGCATTATTTTGCATCTCAGGGTAAAAGTATTTTAAAAATTGACATCTCGTAAAAGATATCTCTTGAAAAATATAAATTTAGAACTGAAAATAGCAGGATATTTCTCTTTGCACATTTTTCTCTCTCTGAGATTAAGCAAAAAAGTAGCAGCCAAATAATAAAACTCTTATATTTTCTGGTGTAGACATACCAAAACTAGTTAGCAATATGAAACCTACACATGCACACACACACACACACACACACACACTTACACATTATAGAAATAAATGTATTTTCTTTTGTGATTTTTTTTCCTATTTGAACTATAAAATAAGGAGTAACTTCAAATTGTATTAAATCTTAGAATTTCATAAAGATTGCATAATCCAGCTAAAGATGAAATTTCTAGGGATAATATAAGCAGTTCATATATCTGTGTGTAGCAGTGATGTTTCTGATAATAATTGTATACTGGTTTGGGGGTTTTTCTTTAGAGTCATATATATTAGCTCATTTGCACAGTTACTATGTGTAAAACATGCACATTTTTTGAATAGTAGTTAAAATCTGGAAATGTTGAAATGATGCATTTATATTTAGATATTTAGTCATGTGTATGGATGTGGAAAATAGCAATGATCTGATAAGTTTTGATTTATTCCAAAAGTCACCATGGTATAAAGGGGGTTTTCCACATTTTTCTGATCTACTTCAAGGCAGAATTTGAATAGACAAGTGATTCTCAAGAGTGCCTCAGAATCACTTGAAGGGCTTGTGTAAAGTGATAAAGAGATGGCTAGGCCCCACCCCTCGAGTTTTTGATAAAGGAAGTCAGATATAGGGCTGAGGTGGTGTATTTTTAACAAGTTCTCAGATATAGCTGATGCTGGTAGTTTGGAATCACACCTTGCAAACCAATGGAGTAATAGATAATGGACAATTTTCTAATAAAATCAGCACATAATTATTTCTACTAAGCAAATCTGAATCATGAATAGGACTGACAGCCTTTCAGATCCACATTAAAGGAAACTAACTCTTCTGTCTCGGTACTGATATTATTGGTATTATAAATATGCAGTAAATAACACATAATGGAGACATACCTATTCTACTAGATCTCTCTAGGATCTTAAGTTTTGTTATTTAAATAATTGATAAAAATTAGAAAAGAATATGCCAAATAGTTGGGTTCTTTTCCTGAACAAAAAGAGTATTTTTTGAACCATGCATGAAATTCAAGGAATGTAAGTAAAAATTGAAATCTATATTGAGTGCCTCTGCTGAACTAAAATGGATATTTTAAAGTAAGTGCCCTTGATGGGATATTTAGATGAAAATCTATATTTTTTGTCGTATTATATTTTGCAATGAAATCCACTTTTATGAAACTGAATTCAGAAAACTCTCATTTCAAAGTAACCTGAAGACAAATGGATATTCGTTGTCAATCTTAAGATATATTAAAGTTAATTTGTGTTGGTAAAATTTTGAGTGAGTGTGCTCTTGTAAACACCTGAGTGCTATTCAGCTTAATTGGGTTATAGCTCATCCTGATTGTGTTTTTCTCCTGCTGTATCTAATTTCTTTTTTTCAATATTTTATTGTTTGGTTTGATTTTGAAGGTGTATGGAAATTAAAGAACTCTAATTTTTTAAGAGCCCTAAAGGGAAGTATGCTTTCGTGTTAGTCATTCCTGTGAACACCTGTGCACTGTTGAATTTAATTGGGTTACAGCTGGTGCTGAGAGAGAGTCAACTAAATGAGGTTTTATAGACTGGCTAGAAACTTGACATTGCATGTCATTGCTTCTTCCCTCCCATTACTTTTCTTTCTATACATTTACAAGATGCTTGGATCTGAAAGATTTTGAAGGTAAATTGAATGAACTTATGATCGGTGATACTTGGTAGTGATTACTTCAGAAAAAGTGTACTTCCATTATACGTTTGTGCAGTACCTCAGAATAAGGTGATCCTAACCTCAGAAGCTAGATGGCCTGCTTGTTGCCAGTAATTCAGGAACACAATGTAATACTGTAGTTAGATTTTCAGAGACTGGTTATTCAATCATATGAGGGTTTTCAGAGGAAAAAACAATGCGTTGAAATTGAAAAGGTAGTAAAAAATTAAATATTATAGAAACCATAGATAACAAAGTAAATGAGGGTAGAATCTATCCACTGAGAGGTAATTATTTTTAATATCTCAATATCATCATTAGAATAAGTTCCTCAGTATGGCCAATAACAATAATTAAATAATTTCAAATAATTTGTTAAAAATTAAATAGAACAATTTGGCAACTTCTTTAGAAAATTTAAGATGGCTCTGTGTTTTTCTCTTGAGCCAATATCATAGACTATTAATTAGTTCGGCAGATAAAATTGAATATACAAAGGGCATTTGGGAACTAGGAGTAGGTGGCAATAGAGTAATATTTAATGGCACTAAATATTAGAATCTTCAACTAGATCCCAGTTTTAGAAAACTATATTCCTTTTTATTTCAAATAAGTTTGAAAATTTAATAGCATTGAATGTTTGTTTTGAATCTATTTTACATGACAGAAAGCAAAATTTAAAACACCAGCAAAAACTAACGAAGTATAAAACAGCAGTTAAAGTATTCACTTAGTAAAGCATTTCTAACATATAACAAAAAACCTTCTAGATGTATTGCTATGCTACTTTAAATGTATAATAGAGAAAAAGAATTTGCTATCCCACTGTTTTTTTTTTGAAAATTAAACTCTGATGAGTGACCTACATTTTTTCACATCCTCTGTGATAAATTAAGAAAGCTATATATTAAGATAAATAAAATGTCTTTAAATTCAATAGAACTATTAAAAATAGGCATTATAATAGAATTAATGCATGTAAAGTACTAATATATCTTTCGTAATATTCTTGATCTTGTGATTAAGCCAGCATTTTCCCATTTTTGAAAGATGAAACTTTCAAAATATTATGGGTCATTCATTTTGGTCAAATTATTCAACCTGGTGTTCTTTGTGCACTTGTCTGATCAGTAAAGCTTTAGGAAGACAGCTTGCTCTCAGGCACTCTCCATAAGACTGAGCATATAACTGTGCTGGTCAGTTACAGGAGCAAAATGTTCCTTTGAACCTCTATAGATTCAATGGCAAACATGCTGGAGGTCTCACTTTGTAGTACACCATCACCCGTGCCCAAATAGGGATGTGACTATATCAAGAGAGTGCAGCCATTATGTGAGGACAGATTCAGGGGACTTGTTAGTTTCTGGTAAAGAAGGAGTGTAAGTTTAACTACTTTCCAAATGCGGCCTGATGGAGCATGCAGAGCTGCCATCCCAGCAGAGTACCTTATCTTGGAAATGAGATGGATTTGTGGACTGAGGTGTGTCTGAGGAGATCTGATCACATTGGTGTCAACTGAAGGATGTGGGGAGTCCACAGGCTGAATTATATACAATAAGGGGGTCTACTTAATTTGTCCTAAATCACTGAGATTAGAAAGTTTATCCAGGTTTCTAGGAGAAAAAGTGAGAATAGGGTGTTTTTTTTATATCACAGGAATCTTATTAATTTTATGTTCATGAAGAGATGCTTGGTGCTTTAAGGAATGCCAGTTAAGTAATGGGTAAATGAGAAAGAAAAAAAAATTCCCTGCTTGCCTGATTACTCTTTTCTAGAAGTAAGTAACCTGGTTTTATGGGGCTCAAGACTATGCCTCAAGTTACTACTTTTGTAAAACACAACTCGCCTTACTCCAACTTCATAGAAACTAAGCTTTTGCAAATGTCATAAACAGCTATTGAATGTAGTCAGTTACTTTTGCACAGAATAAAATATGAAGAATATATGTTTGCCTGGCTCCTGCCATGATGCCTGCCCCTGCTTCTTCGTGCTCCCCATATCCGTGTATTCATTTCTAGATAGCAATTCAGCCATTGAGCCTCAGACCTAGTACTTGAAATAAACATAAGTTATTTAGAAAACCAGCTGCATTTTAACACATTGCCTGAGGCAACCAACTGGGTCCTGTGAACTTTATGCAGTTATTATTGACCTGTTTTCTCTGTTACTCCAAACTAAATGTGTATTATATTGAGGTAACCATTATGCAAGCAAATGTGGTTCTTAAATATATTTATGAAATGAAGAAAATGGTCAGATAAGTGGTAATAATTGTAGTTTAGCTGTGGATAAAGTTCTGGAATTACTTGATAGGAAAGTTTTAAGTCTGATGATGATATCTCAAATGTTCAACTTCAGACTCTGGAACTTAGTAAGCTATCACTTATGTATTTATGAGATTTGCTGTGATAGTAACATTTTAAATGCAAAGGTACATTTAATTGAGCTTTCTCTTTTTGGCAACTTGTACTAGAAGAATGTACCTAAATTTTCAGTAAGCTGATCAAATTAGGAGAGCATCTGTCTTAGCAATGTATTATTCATCTCTAAACAATAATGATGCGGGCAGTTGTATTGTATTGTCATAATTGAAGTTGCCTAGCCATATGTTATACACCCTGAAGACACACAACCACACAAAAATTTTAAGTGATCATTTACTGATTCTGATATTTTACTTGAGAAGATAAGCATTTTCAAGTGCGCCAAGGGAAATAAAAATATTACAGAGATTTTCCTTTGATACCTAACCATTAAATTCAATAACTCATAAATCAAAAAATTTTAAAGCTTATTACGAGTCAAGAATTGTGGTAAATGAGCAGCTGTGGAGACAAGTTAAAGCCTGATAAGATAGAAGCCACCTTTCCCAACACTGATAGGAATTGAAAAGGACCATTGACCCTCAACCTGGAAGCCCCACAAACACTTCAAACTCTAAAGCCCAAATGCAATTGCCCTCCACAATCACACTTCTGCCTAGCCAAGCAACCAAGCTAGAGAGAAGCATCTTTGATATCTGGCTCTGTATTGTTTATCCTCTATGTTAAAATCTGTCTACAAGCACTATCATTTCAAATTGCTAAATATTTCTTGAAATGACTCTCTTGTTTACATTTTGTCATTGATTTCTTCTTAGGCCCTTATTAAATGATTTATTTCTGCATTTAAGAAATTCTAGACTGAGTACTACTATGTATCAATTCTGTGCCAGTTACATGATGACAAGAGAGAACATGGTCTTAGGTAGCTTCAGTGGTGTGGGTAAGACAGATATAAGAAACAAACCATTTTGTATAAGGATACATTCCATAATAAATGGATTACATAAGAAGATGTACCTAACATAGCCTTTATGCTGGACCTTTCATCCTTTATTCTTCATGTATTTTATGCGTGACTCAGATGCCAAAATCCCTATGCCTGGGCAACCCATGCATTCTTTATGTTTTTGTAGATTTTCTACATTTCATTTTCTTAAAAGTATACACAGCAGCACTGGATTAATTATATACTTATTTGTCTAGTTATCTAGTTATTCACTGTCAAGCCATAAGTTTTTAAAGAGCAGGTATCATGATTATTTATTGAATTCCTAGGTGATGAGAAAACATTGTTTGTATGAGATAGTGCAAACTCTCCCTGGGTATTGGATGGAAGGCTTCATTGAGGAAGTGAACTTGAGTTGACTTTTAATATAAATTAAATTAGAAATAAATTCTTAAAGGAAATTAAAATTTTAATAGAATTAGACACTTTCCAGACAGAAAGGATTTCAGTGGCAATGTGAAAGCAAATGTGATGGTGTGAAATAACAGAATAACATGAAATGATCCAAGAGCTGTCAGTAGTTTGGTGTGGCTGGGGCATACTGTTTTGGGAAGGAGATACCAGAAATCAGGACGGGCATGGGTAGAGAGGCTAGAAATGGAAGCACCTTGTACATTTTGCAGAGAAATGTAATCATTATATGCTGAAATCTCAGAAGTAGACTGAGTTTTATTTTTGCATATTACCTAGGTAGCAATGAGTAATTATTTTTTTTAAAACTTTTTGGGTCTCATACTCCTCATCTGTAAAATCATGATTATAATAGTTATTTTGAGGATCAGATGTATGTCTATAAGTGCTTAGAAAAATGTGTGGTCCATGGTAAACATTCAATATAAGCTGGCTGGTTTTACTGTCATTATGACTTTTGTCTTCATTATTATTAAATATTTGAGGGCCATGAGATAATCTTAAAGCAATTAAGTAACATCATAATTACATTTTAGAAGGGAAACTGTGTTACATAGGGAGAGGAAGGACTGAAAATGAAAACTGAATTAAAAAAGATAATTTAAGAGGCTTTATGACAGATTTTTTGCTTAAACAGCATTGTTTAAATATTATATTTAAAATACTTTAAATTAAAAGTTAAATAGTTTTAAGCTGTGAAAAGCATCCACAAGCAATGGTGATGGTTACTTATTTAAAAGATAATAAAAAATAGATGAGACAAAAGCACAGAATTAATTCATTAATGTACAAGATCACTTTTATTATTGGGGTATTCGTATTCATTAATAAGAGAGCATAGTGTAGGGGAAATTAAATGCTTTAATTAAAAAATTGAGATATTTAGAGATACCTGGCAGACAATTACATGATATGATAGCAGTGCTAAACGAAGTTCTGGTCTCTAAAGAGAGGAATCAGCAACAGAAAGTAAATGAGCACAGTATATCCTTCATCAAGCCTATTTTACTACCAAGGAAAAAAAAAAAGTCAGCTGATCTAAACCATGTTTAGGTCCTTAAGGACAGAAGAGCTTATATACATTTTGATGCAAGTTTCTTAGCTCAGGGTAGATCAGAATTATTCTTGGACCAGTGTGCAGACCAGTGTTTGAGGAGCACTAGTCCAGAGCTTAAGAAAATTAAGAGAATTCTGAATTATAAATATTGAGTTAGGACTATACACTAGTAATAGATAAAATTTTTGGAATGTAGGAAAACATTAAAAGAAATCGTGAGATGTGTAAAAAAAATTAAACCACTTAATTTTAAAAGTGGGCAGAGAGGAACACCAAAAAGTAATACTCATGGAATTAGACCATGAACAATAAGAGCATGGCACACTGACAAGAGGATAGGCAGCAATTCTCAAAGGGAGGAAGGCTCCCCAAGGGAATGATCATGCAAGACATGATAATTAACTTACTCCTTCAGAAAATGCTGGATACTTATAAATTCACTCTAGTCTTGACTTTTCCCTATCAGATAGCTAAGATACTAGATCTATAGTTTAAAGATGGCTATATGACTTAAGATTGACAAAGAAGTTTATCTGTTTTATGTGCCAAGGTGTCCTAATGGAGGGAAAAACATTATAGGAAGTAGGAGGAAATTTTAAAATGTTCATCATTGTAATTTATGCCTATAAAACACTTCAATTTTTATCCCTATATTTTATGCCTGTCTTCAGAGGGGTAATCAATTCCTCTAACCACTGAACAGGGATTCTGAAGAGACTTTCATATAGCTGCTGCTGTTTCTTAGTTTCCTGCTCCCAGGGTTTTAGTTTTAGCTTGCTTTGACCTGCTAAGTCAGTTAACATGTACTCATCAGCTTTCAGGTCCAAGACTTTTTAACATCTCTTTGTGGTGTTTCTTCTCCAATTCTCTCTTCTTTTGTAGCCTTAGTTTTATTTTTCCTGTCATTTGGTAGGAATTGGGGAAAGAGCAAATATAAACTTGTGCTAACACTACCCACTTCCCTGGGAGTCCAAATTTGTAATATGTGAGGTAAATTTATAGTCATGCTGAAATAACAATCCTTTCTTTTTTAGTGATTCATTTACCTTTCCTCTGAACGTTTTCTGTTCTAAAGTATGTTTTCATCACTTTCCTATTTTTATAAATTATATAGGTAGAACTCATGTAGAATAGTTCTAAAGTCTGTATCATTTCCATTCTTCTCTCAGTCTGATTCTAATTGATGTGACTTGAGCACAACAAATTATTGCCTTGAGCAAAACACTGATTTAAGCCACTCCCTCTCTCTTACATCATGCTAGGGCTAAAATTTCTGTTTCACTAAGACGCAAATGTGCAGTTGCTATCACTTATTGCCTATGCAATTTGTTTTGTCTTTTTAAAAACTAGATCTCTTACATATAGAACTTACTTTCTTGCTTGGTTTTTCAGATTTAATAAATGCATCTATCAGCTTTTCCTTAAACCTTTTATTCCATTATATAAATCATTTTGTTGATCTCACTAATTTCTATATCTCTACCTTTAAAAAGTAAATAGTATTAAGTGCTGAAGTTAAGTAGTACTAAGAAGGGCTCAGATTCAACACATCACATTTCTTTACATAAGTATCTTTCAAAAAGTTAAATAAAATTATGTAATAGACTTTTAAGCAATATATGCTTTTCAATGCCTTCATATCCCTTCTTCTTTGCTATTACTTGTAGAATACCTAATTTGTCCATATATTATTGATCATTTATTATCTAGGATGCATCATTTTGAGTAACTATTTGCCCTTAAAATCACAAGCCATTTATTAACAATAGTTAAAATATTTATAATTGTACTCATCTTTGGAACACTATTTGTAGTGTTTTTATGTCTCCCTTCTGAAAGCATAACTGCAAGGCATGTGATTATATCATTTGTATAATTATCATCTGTATAGCATCCCTAAATATCTAGAAAAATAAAGTATCAACTGCTTGTAAAATGTATATTATGAACATGTTCCAATAATTCAATTACACTGTGTTTAATTTTCAATTAAGTCTATGGTTGTACCATTTTATCCCCCTGAATTGGTCTTTTGGCTTCCTTGTTACCTAAGAAAAAAGGGCACAGTGGCACCTAATTAAGTGATTTAGATTGCTGACATTGATGCCATTAAAAATATTGGGTCATTCAATTTGATACACTTGTGGAATAAACCCAGTTCAAAGTTAAGAACTATTTATAGTTATTTAC
This sequence comes from Homo sapiens, assembly GCF_000001405.40. NCBI lineage: Eukaryota > Metazoa > Chordata > Mammalia > Primates > Hominidae > Homo > Homo sapiens. The sequence continues at coordinate 91,401,013 of NC_000004.12, forward strand.
ATTTCTAATTCAATCATCTGTTTTTCTTCGAGATAAAGAAAATGTGAAGAATGAGGGAAATAAGTAATACTTAGTGATTACTATGATCCAGATATTGTGCTGTTTTATTTATTTAATCTTCATTACCTCACGTGCCCATCTAAATAGATACCCATTTTTTGACTTTCAGCCATTAAAATAACTAATAATATAAAATATCTAATGCAGTTTAATATGGTGAATTATATATGTGTATTCTAAGACATATATAGTTATATACTATGCTACATAGATATACTATATAGTATATACTATACAATATAGATATACTGTATATATATTACATATAATATACTACATTGATATACTATATATTATATATAATATAACATATCAATATAATATATATATACTTTTTTTATTATACTTTAAGTTCTAGGGTACATGTGCACAACGTGCAGGTTTGTTACATATGTATACATGTGCCATGTTGGTGTGCTGCACCCATTAACTCGTCATTTAAATTAGGTATATCTCCTAATTCTATTCGTCCCCCCTCCCCCAACCCCATGACAGACCCTGGTGTGTGATGTTCCCCACCATGTGTCCAAGTGTTCTCATTGTTCAATTCCCACCTATGAGTTGAGAACATGTGGTGTTTTATTTTCTGTCCTTGCGATAGTTTGCTCAGAATGATGGTTTCCAGCTTCATCCATATCCCTACAAAGGACATGAACTCATCCTTTTGTATGGCTGCATAGTATTCCATGGTGTATATGTGCCACATTTTCTTAATCCAGTCTATCATTGATGGACATTTGGGTTGGTTCCAAGTCTTTGCTATTGTGAATAGTGCCACAATAAACATACGTGTGCATGTGTCTTTATAGCAGCATGATTTATAATCCTTTGGGTATATACCCAGTAATGGGATGGCTGGATCAAATGATATTTCTAGTTCTAGATCCTTGAGGAATTTCCACACTGTCTTCCACAATGGTTGAACTAGTTTACAGTCCCACCAACAGTGTAAAAGTGTTCCTATTTCTCCACATCCTCTCCAGCACCTGTTTCCTGACTTTTTAATGACCGCCATTCTAACTGGTGTGAGATGGTATCTCATTGTGGTTTTGATTTGCATTTCTCTGATGGGCAGTGATGATGAGCATTTTTTCATGTGTCTGTTGGCTGCATAAATGTCTTCTTTTGAGAAGTGTCTGTTCATATCCTTTGCCCAGTTTTTGATGGGGTTGATTTTTTTCTTGTAAATTTGTTTAAGTTCTTTGTAGATTCTGGAAATTAGCCTTTTGTCAGATGGGTAGATTGTAAAAATTTTCTCCCATTCTGTAGGTTGCCTATTCACTCTGATGGTAGTTTCTTTTGCTGTGCAGAAGCTCTTTAGTTTAATTAGATCCCATTTGTCTATTTTGGCTTTTGTTGCTGTTGCTTTTGGTATTTTAGACATGAAGTCCTTGCCCATGCCTATGTCCTGAATGGTATTGCCTAGGTTTTCTTCTAGAATTTTTATGGTTTTAGGTCTAACATTTAAGTCTTTAATCCATCTTGAGTTAATTTTTGTATAAGGTGTAAGGAAGGGATCCAGTTTCAGCTTTCTACATATGGCTAGCCAGTTTTCCCAGCACCATTTGTTAAATAGGGAATCCTTTCCCCATTTCTTGTTTTTCTCAGGTTTGTCAAAGATCAGATGTTTGTAGATGTGTGGTATTATTTCTGAGGACTCTGTTCTGTTCTATTGGTCTATCTCTCTGTTTTGATACCAGTGCCATGCTGTTTTGGTTACTGTAGCCTTGTAGTATAGTTTGAAGTCAGGTAGCATGATGCCTCCAGCTTTGTTCCTTTTGCTTAGGATTGTCTTGGCAATGAGTGCTCTTTTTTGGTTCCATATGAACTTTAAAGTAGTTTTTTCCAATTCTGTGAAGAAAGTCATTGGTAGCTTGATGCGGATGGCATTGAATCTATAAATTACCTTGGGCAGTATGGCCATTTTCACAATATTGATTCTTCCTATCCATGAGCATGGACTGTTCTTCCATTTGTTTGTGTCTTCTTCTATTTCGTTGAGCAGTGGTTTGTAGTTTTCCTTGAAGAGGTCCTTCACATCTCTTATAAGTTGGATTCATAGGTATTTTATTCTCTTTGTAGCAATTGTGAATGGGAGTTCACTCATGGTTTGGATCTCTGTTTGTCTGTTATTGGTGTATAGGAATGCTTGTGATTTTTGTACGTTGATTTTGTATCCTGAGACTTTGCTGAAGTCGCTTATCAGATTAAGGAGATTTTGGGCTGAGATGATGGGGTTTTCTAAATATACAATCTTGTCATCTGCAAACAGTGACAATTTCACTTCCTCATTGCTAATGGAATACCTATTATTTCTTTCTTCTGCCTGACTGCCCTGGGCAGAACTTGCAACATTATGTTCAATAGGAGTAGTGAGAAAAGGCATCCCTGTCTTGTGCCAGTTTTCAAAGGGAATGCTTCCAGCTTTTGCCCACTCAGTATGATATTGGCTGTGGGTTTGTCATAAATAGCTCTTGTTATTTTGAGATACGTCCCATCGATACCTAATTTATTGAGAATTTTTAGCATGAAGGGCCGCTAAATATTGTTGAATGCCTTTTCTGCATCCATTGAGGTAATCATGTGGTTTTTGTCTTTGGTTCTGTTTGTATGATGGATTACATTTATTGATTTGTGTATGTTGAACCAGCCTTGCATATCAGGGAAGAAGCTGACTTCATCATCATGGATAAGCTTTTTGATGGGCTGCTGGATTCAGTTTGCCAGTATTTTATTGAGGATTTTTTGCATCGATGTTCATCAGGGATATTGGTCTAAAATTCTCTTTTTTTGTTGTGTCTCTGCCAGACATTGATACCAGGATGATGCTGGCCTCATAAAATGAGTTAGGGAGGATTCCCTCTTTTCCTACTCATTGGAATAGTTTCAGAAGGAATGGTACCAGCTCCTCTTTGTACCTCTGGTAGAATTTTGCTGTGAATCCATCTGGTCCTGGACTTTTTTTGGTTGGTAGGCTATTAATTATTGCCTCAATTTCAGAGCCTGTTATTGCTCTACTCAGGGATTCAACTTCTTCCTGGTTTAATCTTGGGAGGGTGTATGTGTCCAGGAATGTATCCATTTCTTCTAGATTTTCTAGTTTCTTTGCATAGAGGTGTTTATAGTATTCCCTGATGGTAGTTTGTATTTCTGTGTGATCGGTGGTCATATCCCTTTTCTTTTTTTATTGTATCTATTTGATTCTTCTCTCTTTGCTTCTTTATTAGTCTTGCTAGCAGTCTATCAATTTTGTTGATGTTTTCAAAAAAACAGATCCTGGATTCCTTGATTTCTTGAAGGGTTTTTTTCTGTCTCTGTCTCCTCCAGTTCTGCTCTGATCTTAGTTATTTCTTGCCTTCTGCTAGCTTTTGAATGTGTTTGCTCTTGCTTCTCTAGTTCTTTTAATTGTGATGTTAGGGTGTCAATTTTAGATCTTTCCTGCTTCTCTTGTGGGCATTAAGTGCTATAAATTTCCCTCTACACACTGCTTTAAATGTGTCCCAGAGATTCTGGTATGTTGTGTCTTTGTTCTCATTGGTTTCAAAGAACCTCTTTATTTCTGCCTTCCTTTCATTATGTACCCAGTAGTCATTCAGGAGCAGGTTGTTCAGTTTCCATGTTGTTGAGGGGTTTTGAGTGAGTTTCTTAGTCCCGAGCTCTAGTTTGATTGCACCATTGTCTGAGAGACAGTTTGTTATAATTTCTGTTCTTTTACATTTGCTGAGGAGTGCTTTACTTCCTACTATGTGGTCAATTTTGGAATAAGTGCAATGAGGTGATGAGAAGAATGTATATTCTGTTGATTTGGAGTGGAGAGTTCTGTAGATGTCTATTAGGTCCACTTGGTGCAGAGCTGAGTTCAATTCCTGGATATCCTTGTTAACTTTCTGTCTTGTTGATCTGTCTAATGTTGACAGTGGGGTGTTAAAGTCACTCATTATTATTGTGTGGGAGTGTAAGTCTCTTTGTAGGTCTCTAAGGACTTGGCTTATGAATCTGGGTGCTTCTGTATTGTGTGCATATATATTTAGGATAGTTAGCTCTTCTTGTTGAATTGATCCCTTTACCATTATGTAATGGCTATCTTTGTCTCTTTTGATCTTTGTTGGTTTAATGTCTGTTTTATCAGAGACTAGGATTGCAACCCCTGGTTTTTTTTTTTGTTTTCCATTTGCTTGGCCATATGTAGAAAGCTGAAACCAGATCCCTTCCTTACACCTTATACAAAAATTAATTGAAGATGGATTAAAGACTTAAATGTTAGACCTAAAACCATAAAAACCCTAGAAGAAAACCTAGGCAATACCATTCAAGACACAGGCATGGGCAAGGACTTCATGTCTAAAATACCAAAAGCAACAGTAACAAAAGCGAAAATAGACAAATGGGATCTAATTAAACTAAAGAGCTTCTGCACAGCAAAAGAAACTACCATCAGAGTGAATAGGCAACCTACAGAATGGGAGAAAATTTTTACAATCTACCTACTGAAGCCTCAGCAATGGCTGGCGCCCCTCCCCCTGCCTCGGGGCTGCCTTGCAATTCAATATCAGACTGCTGTGCTAGCAGTGAGCCTGGCTCCGTGGCATTGGACCCTCCAATCTAAGCACAGGATATAATCTCCTGGTGTGCCATTTGCTAAGACCGTTGGAAAAGCACAGTATTAGGGTAAGAGTGTCCGAATTTTCCAGGTACCATCTGTCATGGCTTCCCTTGGCTAGGAAAGGGAATTCTCCGACCCCTTGCACTTCCCAGGTGAGGCAATGCCCCACCCTGCTTTGGCTTAATCTCCTTAGGTTGCACCCACTGTCCAACAAGCCCCAGTGAGATGAACCTGGTACCTCAATTGGAAATGCAGAAATCACCCGTCTTCTACATTGCTCATGCTGGGAGCTGTAGACTGGAGCTGTTCCTATTTGGCCATCTTGGAACTGCCTCCCGATATATGTATATTCTTATCCATACAACAAACCTATGAGAGGTAGGTGAAATTATTAACATAGATAATAATGAAGAAAGTGCAAAACAGAGAAATTTGTTAACTTGTAACATGAAATTGCATAATAAGAGTCAAGACCCATAAGTGTGCTGTATTCAGGAGAACCATGAAATTGCATAATTTGTTAACTTGTACAATAAGTAGCATGAAATTGCATAATAGACTTCTAAGCAATTCATGCTTTGCATCACCTTCAAACCCCTTCTTCTTTCCTATGTTGTTCAAGTTAATAAATTTAAGAAGTCAAACAGCAGGGTCTCTTTTACTCCAAAGCTTATACTGTTTCCAGTATACTATATTGTTTTATGACATTCTAGTTAACATATCTTTTAATTTGTTTCTTAGGATTCAATGTGGTTCTTTATTTAGTAATAGCCATCTTGCCAATTGTGTCAATAATATGTCGACTCTTTAAAGTTGCTAAATGTTTATTCCTTACCACTGGGACTCATCTGTTTGTAAATAAGCAGTTCCACAAATACACGCTAGTAAATTCTAGAGCTGATAGAAACAGTAGTGCTAGTTATCGCATGTTATGTAAGAATGTGTCATTTGTTTTGTTTTTAATATAGCTGACAATGTATTCATGATTTTTCCTGGTACATAAATAAAAGACTTTCAATTTATAGTTAAAATGATAATATCTTCATGACTGTACAACATGTTGTATAAATAAAATATTCTGCTTTTATTATATTGTTATCCATGTTTAATGAATTTGAGCTATGTAGATAAAACTTGAGGCACTAGACAGAATAAGTTTCTAAGTCCTCAGTTTTTTTATTCATAGTATTGTTAGCCACAGAATTATTAATGAAAAAAACAACCTTTGTTTATTTGAATATTCTCACAACATGGCACATTGAAGATGTGTTTTATTTTAAACTCACATTTCATACCTAATATTGCAAAGCAGACAATCCTCACTGTAAGTATTATTTATTGATGCTTAAAACTTCAATGAATTATTCAGCCCCTTTAACCCTTCTTGCTTTGCTGCACACCTATTGAGTTTTCAGAGCAGTTTCATATCAATAAATTTGTTCTTGCTTTGCTGCTCCAATTTCATGCTTGGCCTTTCTAAGTGACATACAAGAAAAATAAATAAATAGCTAGAAGGAATAAAATAAGTATACAAATTACTTTGAACAACTCGAGATCCAAATCATTAAAGCTCTCAAAGATTTTAAAAATTAAGATGTGAAAGCAAGTCTACAAAAACAGGCTACATGCAAAAATAATAGGCAAAAACCGTGTCTTGTTAACATGCAATCTGTGGAGAGTGACCATGTATTTATACGCATCCTGTACCCGGGGTTGAAATGAACTCTTTACAAATAAGTTCCTAAGAGTTCAAGGACTTACTGCCACTTTTTATCTCATGTTGTCATGCACATTAGAGAGGTAGACAAGAAGAGAATGAACGGCCTTTTTAGTATGTTTGTGTTACTATAAAGAAACACTTGAAGCCAAGTAATTTATAAAGAAAAGAGGTTTATTTGGCTCACAGTTGTACAGGCTATACAAGAAGCATCATGTAGCTTCTGCTTCTGATGCGGGAGCTTCAGGCTGCTTCCACTCATGGTAGAAGGGAAACAGGAGCAGGCTTCTATACAGAGATCACATGGTGAGAGAAGGGACAAGAGAGATGGGGAACCAGCTCTACAGGGAACTAGTAGAGTGAGAACTCACTCATTACTTTGTGGTCAACACCACCCATGAGGGATCCATTCCATGACTCAAATATGTCCCAGGAGGCGCCACTTCCAACACTGGGGATGAAATTTCAACATGAGGTGTGGAGAGTCAAATATTCAAACTGTAGTCATCTCTTCTGTGGAGCTAGAGGGTTGGGAAATTTACCCACTAACTCCATTTGTCAGTGGTCTATTGCCGTTTCAGTGAGGGCTGTTGATGCTCCTGCACTTCCGGCTTGCTCAGCCTAGGAGCTGATAGTGCTCCAGGCCAGTAAAAAAAAAAGCCCTCAGGCCAAAAGTGAGTACTAATCCTTTAGCACAGAGATGAATGTCTAGAGTACAACAGCCTCAGTTGTATTAAGATAAAGAGAGATGTTCATGATGTTTAAAATCAGATGATGACATCAAAATTGAAATGGAAAACAAAAAGTAAATATTTCTTTTCACTTCCTCATTCTTCTGACTTTGAAAACCTCTTACCTTTTATGGATACAGAGACAAATATATCTCTGTCTATGGAAATAGTAAAATGAAATTAAGAACAATTTTCACATAACAGTATAATTTAGTATAATTCTCTACTATCAATTGTACAAGAATGCTTTATCTCATGATGCAAGATTAAATTGTTATCCAGTTCCAAACCAGGTGGTTATATCAGCCAGCCTTTTTATGATGACTTATTTGCCTTTAAGCAAATATATTACATCCAACCTTTTAAAATATTTTTATCATTTCCTATTTTTAATACTGAATCCTCAGACTGAAAATTCAACAGTTTTTGCTTTAAAGTTTTACATCTCTTCCTAAATTTTATTTGCCTGCAATCTGATATAGGTGTTCATAGTCATCTAAACATTTCTCTTGTTGTTGTTGGCTTTGCTGCTGGGGCATTCAGTAATTTTCATGACCTGTCTCCAGGTGCTTTATAATTTCCACATGCCTTGTATTTATGAACACCAGCTTATATAACATTCAGATAGAAACAAAGGAAAATGTTATATATCACAATGGCAGGATGATACAGCTGTGAAGGTAGCAGACATATACAGTGCTTTATATTTTTTAAATCATTGCTTTAAGATTAGATATGATGAATTTCAGATGAGTAAACCAACCATAGTGTACTCCTGTATTTTATCTAGAAAAGTAATGATAATGGATACCCTCAGGTCAGACCTGGGTGTTCATGATCACAACCTCTGTGTCTTTTCTTGGCACCTTATTTGCTGTGGGGGAAAACAATTTCCATTCATGTATCATACTCCATTCGGACAAAGCAAACACCTGAAACTTAGACAAATGTTATTCACATGGCATCCTCTAGATTTCTGAGGCAAAGACATTGGCAAAAACAAAAAAAGAATCATTTACAATAGTGAATCTCAGTAGACCTTTTCCCCTATCTCAGTAAAGATTAAACAATCTTCTTAATAAACTTTGCATTAGGAACAATTAAATGGTTCATTTTTGATGCAGACATTTATTTGAATGATTTTAATTACCACTTAATATGCCCTTATATTGCCCAATTTATTCATTTTAGTATCTTATAACCTTGATTTACATATTTTTGCTGTTCTATTTATCACCATTCATTGTAGGTTATTAGTGAGATTTAATTTACACTGACATTTCCAGTGACACTTAATTTTATATTCTTTTTCCAGATTTAAATGTTTCTGTAGTTTTCAAATTTTATTTTTAAGCCAACAAAGTTTCCTTCCCATCTCCATGTGTTCTATTTTAAAAAATTTTCAAAAGTAATTTCAAAAACCTTTAGTTCAGTTATAAATATAGATTTTTATTCTTCCCAAGCAATACTGTTTATACATTCAAAATCTTATAGCTACCCAAAGTATAATGTGATCAGTGAATATTACTCTTAAAGTAAAAAATACTAATTTCTTTGTCTTTTTCTTTTTTCTTTTTTTCTTTTGCAGAGTCTCGCTGGGTCACCCAGGCTGGAATGCAGTGGCACTCAGCTCACTGAAATCTCTGCCTCCTGGGTTCAAGCGATTCTCCTGCCTCAGCCTCCTGAGTAGCTGGGATCACAGGCGCCTGCCACCATGACTGGCTAATTTTTGTATTTTTAGTAGAGACAGGTTTTCACCATTTGGCCAGGCTGGTCTCGAACTCCCGACCTCAGGTGATCTGCCCACTGTGGCCTCAGGCCGTTTACCACATATTCTCTAGATTCGTGCAAAATAAACACATTGACAGTAAGTTCCTTAACTTTAAAGAATTTCCATATCCTTATCAGAATCAGTGTATTAATGTGACTGGGAAAAGGAGAAAATACAGCAAAATGACCCACCATTTTACTCAGTCCTGGTTTTCTTTGTTTTTCTTGAACTGGGGAATTTATCAATATCATGTCTATTTCTAAAAAGTTACCTAGTCAAAAGCTTTGTAAGCAATTTCACTGTTATTCCTACTGGATAATTGAGTAAAATTTTGGAGGAGGAAGACATTTTAAATTTCACTTCTTATATTCAAATCCAAGATTTTTTTCAATTTAAAATACTAAATACTGTCTTTCCATCATTTTTTTTTACCATAGATGAAATAACTTAAAGGGTAGTATGAGCTGAGAAGGGAATACAGAATGTAATTTACTCACATCTTTGTTTGATCTACTATGAAAATTTTTAAAGGCTTCTTTTATGTTTGCTGCCTTGAAACATTTGAATGAACTTCATGAAAGATGTACTGAGCATGTATACCTTTATGTTCTGGTTGCTTGAGTCCTTCGAAAGCTGAAGAACCTATTTTTACAAAAGAATTTTCTCAGGTACCAAGCAGCCAACCAATGATAATCACTAGTTTCTTTAGAAAACTTAAATATTCTCTGCCTTATTTTATTATGGCAAAACATATTATGGCAAATGAAATAAAGGAAAGTATTAGGAAGAATAAAGAGAAAAAGAATGTATAATTTTATGTTACCTTTATGTAATTTATCTGGTCTATTTCCCTTGGTTTTGATTCAATGAAATGTCAATTTAGGAATTATTTATTTTAATACAGCTTTTTTTCTAAATGTTTTATAAGCATGTATCCAACAAACATGATTTATGATAATGTTTAATCACTAAACAAAATCAATAACACAATATATTTGGAAAATACAGCACATTCAGAAGCTAGATTTTTAGTGATCTTAGCATCATATACTAAAAAGTACATTGTCTTCTGTATGAAGTCACTTCATCCCCAACTAAAATGATTATAGTTATGTGAAGTTAATAATCTGTTGTTAGATTGAAGATTCACAATATTTATATAATTTTATGTAATTTTATAAATTTTCCTATAATATAGATTTTAGAAATTACTGTCTGATTACTATCTTTTGGGACTCTTCTAAATTTCTTAAAATATTCCTCTCATAATATTTTGACATGAGAGGATAAGAGCTGCATCTGGAGAAAAGAGGCTTGGGTGTTATTAAGTCCTCAGTGTTATACCAATTACTTGCAAGAAATTAAGTCCAACTGAAATGGCTGTACTAGAAGATTACTTAAGCCATCCTCATAGATAGAATTTTTGATAAGAATTTAGTGTCCTTTCCAAGAATCTTCAGTGACTCCCTATTTTTCCTCTGTTGCTCAGTATTTCTAACCTATTCTGCAAGGGTTTTGAATGCCTTAATTTATCTGATACCACCTTCCAGATAAAACTATCTGGAAGTAATTAATCACTAAATTTCTGCATATATACATATATATATATATATATATATATATATATATATAAAATCTTGACTAGTTAATATATTTAATATTTTGCTTCCCATTTTCTGTGACCTAATTTGTGTGCTTAGTTGTATAATTTATACACCTGTATGGTGTTTATTTTAGTACCAAACCCATAATTATGATTTTTTCTCTCATAAGGCTGTGAGTCCTTTGAGAGTTTGAGAAAGGGTTTTCATTTTTTTTTTTTCATCCCACTACTGATATTGGAGCTAGTGGCACAAAAAAAAAATGTTTTGGATGAACAAGATAGCCAGGATTTTGACCCCCAGGATCTTTGCCTCTGGTGTTATGCCTATAAACATGACTAGTGTTATGTTGTTACACAGTAAAAAAAAAAAGACTTTGCATATGGAATCAGTGGGCCTTAAAATACATAGATTATCATGGTTATCCAGATGGGCCCAGTGTAATCCTTGGACCCTGAAAGGCAGATGAGGGGGAAGTGACTTCAGCAAGAAGCAGGGTTAGGAGGTTCTCCACTTGTATCTCTTCACAGCAACAATAATTTTGCAGCCATCTGTAGGAAAAGAAAAGTGACTTTGTAGGGGTATTGGGATTCAGGAAACTCCAGTGGAGCCTAAGCCCTGGAAGAATTGTTTTGAGAGGGCAGACCCATGCCCAGGTGGCCAGATCTCTAATCATGGTCCCAACTCCAGAGCCTATCCCCCTGTAAATATATCTATATTCCTGTTTGGCTTTTGCCATGCCACCAGAACCATCCACCGAGGAATCAGGGAAGAGTCACACCCACTCAAGCCTTGAGTGACAGATCCACCAACTCAGATCCAGCTGTGAGCCATGAAACAGCTGTAAGACACAGCTCCAACCTCCCTCAACTATATTCTGAGGCCAATACTGCTTGTCCAGAGACCCACTTGGTTACCAAGTGGAATCTCTTCCAGAAACCTGGAAGAAGGCACACACATCTGTGAAATTGGTAACAAGCTCTCCATCTGTGGACATGAAAGCAGGTATTCATCCTGGTGCCAGTGCTACTGACTGAGGTCCTTATGGAAGTCCAACCCACCCAGGGACCAGACAAATCCATAATCACTGGAGTCTCCAGTAACAGGCCCACCAACCATAGACTCTGCGGCAGATTCAACAGTAGGCACATGTCCTGGCTCAAACCCCACCAGACAATTATCTTTTAAGCAACTTTATCATCCCAGATACCAAACAGGAGAAGGTCTTTACATTCTGAGACCAGTCTGTAAAGAATGGAAGTGGTATTTATTCCTTCAAATGCACAGATACCTACACAAGGCTACACAGATAATGAAATATCTTGGAAACATGATACCACCAAATGAAACAAATAAAGCTCCAGGAGCTAACCCTAAAGAAGGGGGGATCTATGAATTGCCTAAAAATAATTCAAAATAATGATTGTAAAGAAGGTCAATGAGATGCATAAGGAAACAAAAAAAAAACAGATAACTAAATGATATTAGGAAAAAAATGCATGAACAAAGTAAGGAGTTTAATAAAGAATTAGAAGCCATAAAAAAAGAAACCCAAACAGAAATCCTGGAGCTAAAAAATACAATGATAGAAATTTAAAAAATTAATGGAGAGCTTCAGCAGCAGACCTGATCATACAGAAGACTTAGTAAACTCAAAGATAGGTTGGCCAGGCATGGTAGCTCACTCCTGTAATCCCGGCACTTTGGGAGACATAGGCATGAAGATAGCTTAAGGCCAGGAGTTTGAGACCAGCCTGGGAAACATAGCAAGACCTTATCTCTACAAAAATGTTAAAATTAAATATTAGCTAGACAAGTACCAGGTTTGGTGGCACACACCTGTAGTCCTAGCTACTCAGGAGGTGGTAGTGGGAGGATCACTGGTGCCCAGAAATTCAAGGTGACAGTGAGCTATAATCCTTCCACTGCATTCAAGCCTGGGTGACAGAGTGAGACCATGTCTCTCAAAAAAAGAAAATATAGGCCAATCAGAACAAGAACAACAACAACAAAAAAAAACAAAAAGAATGAAAAAAATTAAAACAAGCATAAGGGACCTATGGGACACCATGAAGTGTGTGAATATATGAATTAAGAGCATCCTAGAAGGAGAAAAGAGAAAAAGCCAGAAAGCTTATTTAAAGAAGTACTTACTGAAAACTTCTACCATCTTAAGAAGGACATGGACATACAGAATAATAAAGCTCTGGGGATCTAAGCAAGATAAATTTAAAAAATCATCTAAGACACATTATAATCAAATTGTCAACAGTCAAGAACAAAGAGAGAATTTTAAAAGCAACAAGACTTGTCACATAAAAGGGAACCTACAAAAGGCTATCAGCAGACTTCTCAGCAAAAACCTTACAAGCCAGGAGAGAGTGGGATAATATATTAAAATTGCTGAAAGAAAAAAAAACTATCAACCAGAAATACTATACCAAGAAAAGTGGTCTTTCATACGTGAAGAAAAGATAAAGACATTATAGATAAACAAATGCCAAGAGAGTTCATCACCAGGAAAGCTGTCACAAGAAATTCTAAAAGGAAGTCTTTGAGTTGAAACAAAATGCTGCTAAGTAACAATGTGAACACTTAAGAAAATATAAAACTCACTGCTAAAGGTAAATATATGGTCAAATCAGAATGCTCTAATACTGTAATGGTGGCATATAAATTACTTTTAACTTTAACAGAAATGTTAAAAGACAAAAATACTAATAACTATCACTACAATAATGTATTAATGCTTACACAATATAAAATATGCAAAGTGTGACATCAATAACATTAAATTTGAGGGGGCAGTGAAAATGTAGAGTTCTTCCATGCAATTGAAGTTAAGTTGTTATTTGCTTAAAATAAAATTTTATAACACTAAGATGTTTTATGTAAACCCAATGGTGACTGTAAGGAAAAAAACCTGTAGTAGATACATAAAAGAGAAGCATATCATTTCAAAAAAATTCACAAATTTAAAGGAAGGCAGCAAGAGAGGAAGAAAGGAACAGGGGATCCATGAGACAGCCAGAAAACAATGAACAAAATGGCAATAGTAAGACTATGCCTATTTATTATCTCTTTAAATGCAAATGGATTAAATTCTCCAATCAAAAGATGTAGAGTGGCCAAAAGAATTTTACAGTAGAAATCCAACATTTGCTACCTATGAGAGACCAACTTTAGCCATAAAGACAAACATAGGTTGAAAGCAAAATGACTGAAAAACAAAACCCATCTAAATTGTAAACAGAGCAAAGGTGACTATATTTATATTAAACAAAATACACTTACAATTAAAAATATCACATGAGAAACAAAGAAGGTCATTATATAAAATCATTATATAATGGGTTGATTGATTCAAGAGAACATAACAAATGTAAGTATAAGTAAGTGCATCATATGCACCCAAAATTGACACACCTATGTATATAAAGCAAATGTTAGTAGAACTGAAGTAGATATAGACAGCAATACAATAATAGTAGGAGACTTTTATACCCCACTTTCAACATGAATAGATCATCCAGACACAAAACCTATAAGGAAGCAGTGGACTTGAATAGTGCTATGTGGCAAATAGACCTAACAGATGTATACAGAACATTCCATCTAACAGCATCAGAATACACATTCATCTTAACTTTACTCAGAATATTCTCCAAGATAGCAATTGTGAATGGGAGTTCATTCATGATTTGGCTGTCTGCTTGCCTCTTGTTGATGTGTATGAATGCTAGCAGTTTTTGCAGATCTATTTTGTATCTGAGGCTTTGCTGAAGTGGCTAATCAGCTTAACAAGCTTTTGGGCTGAGTTGATGATGGGGTTTTCTAGACATGGAATCATGACATCTGCAATAAAAGATAATTTGACTTCCTCTGTTCCTATTTGAATATCCTTTATTTCTTTCTCTTGCCTGATTGCCCTGGCCAGAAATTCCAATACTATGTTGATTAAGCATGGTAAGGGAGGGCATCCTTGTCTTGTGCTGGTTTTCAAGGGAAATGCTTCCAGCTTTTGCCCATTCTGTATGATATGGCTATGGGTTTGTCATATATGGCTCTTACTATTTTGAGGTATGTTCCTTCAATACCAGTTTATTGAGAGTTTTTACCATGAAGCGATGTTGAATATTATCGAAGGCCTTTTCTATGTCTATTGGAATAATCATATGGTTTCTGTATTTATTTCGTTTATGTGATGAATTACATTTATTGCTTTGCATATGTTGAACCAACCTTGCATTCCAGGAAGAAGCCAATTTGATTGTGTTATATAAGCTTTCTGATGTGCTGCTGGATTTCGTTTGCCAGTATTTTAATAGAGGATTTTTGCATTGATGTTCATCAGGGATATTGGCCTGAAGTTTTATTATTTTTTTGTTGTATCTCTGCCAGGTTTTGGTATCAGGATGATGCTAACTGCATCATCAGGAGTCCCTCATTTTCAATTGTTTGGAATAGTTTCACCAGGAATGGTACTCTTATTTTATGTCTGGTAGAATTCAGCTGTAAATCCATCTTGTCCTGGTCTTTTTTAATTGATAGGCTATTTATTACTGCCTCAGTTTCAGAACTTGTTATTGGTCTATTCAGGGATTCAGTTTCTTCCTGGTTCAGTCTTGGGTAGGAATACAGGTAACAAGGGAAGTGAAGGACCTCTTCAAGGAGAACTACAAACTACTCCTCAAGGAAATCAGAGAGAACACATACAAATGGAAAAACATTCCATGCTCATGGATAGGAAGAATCAATATTGTGAAAATGGTCATACTGCCCAGACGAATTTATACATTCAATGCTATTCCCATTAAACTACCATTGACATTCTTCACAGAATTAGAAAAAAAAAACTATTTTAAAAATCAGATGGAACCAAAAAAGAGCCTGAATAGGAAAGAGAATCCTAAGCAAAAAGAACAAAACTGGAGTCATCACACTACCTGACTTCAAACTATATCACAAGGCTATAGTAGCCAAAACAGCATGACACTGACAAAAACAGACACATAGGCCAATGTAACAGAATAGAGAAAACAGAAATAAGACTGCATACCTGCAATCATCTTATCTTCGACAAACCTGACAAAAACAAGCAATGGGGAAAGGATTCCCTATTTAATAAGTGGTGCCGGGAGAACTGGCTAGCCATATGCAGGAAATTGAAACTGGACCCCTTCCTTATATCTTATACAAAAATTAACTCAAAATGGAGTAAAGACTTGACTGCAAAACCAAAAACTATGAAAACCTTCAAAGAAAATCTAGGCAATACCATTCAGGACATAGGCACTGGCAAAGATTTCATGAGGAACATGTCAAAAGGAATTGCAACAAAAGCCAGAATTGACAAATAGGATCTACTTAAACTAAAGAGTTTCTGCACAGCAAAAGAAATTATCATCAGAGTGAACAGAAAACCTACAAAATGGGAGAAAATTTTTGCAATCTGTCCATCTGACAAAGGTCTAATATCCAGAGTCTACAAGGAGCTTAAACAAATTTACAAGAAAAAAACTGAACAACCCCATTAAAAAATGAGCAAAGGACATAAATGGACACTTCTCAAAAGAAGACATTCATGCAGCAAACAAACATATGAAAAAAAGCCTCAACATCATTGATCATTAGAGAAATGCCAATCAAAACCACAATGAGATACCATATCATGCCAGTGAGTATGATGATTATTAAAAAATCAAGAAACAACAGATGCTGGCACAGCTGTGTAGGAAAAGATTGGTGGAAGTGTAAATTAGTTCAACCATTGTGGATACAGTGTGGTGATTTCTCACTGATCTAGAAGCAGAGATATCATTTGACCCAGCAATCCCATTACTCAGTACATAGCCAAAGGAATATAAATCATTCTATTATAAAGATACATGCATGCATATGTTTATTGCAGCACTATTCACAATAGCAAAGATATTGAATCAACCCAAATGTTCATCAATGATAGACTGGATGAAGGAAATGTGGTACATATATACCATGGAATACTATGCAGCTATAAAAAGGAATGAGATCCTGTTCTTTGCAGGGACATGGATGGAGTTGGAAGCCATTATCCTCATGAAACTAATGCAGGAACAGAAAGCCAAACACTGCATGTTTTTACTTATAAGTGGGAGGTGAATGATAAGAACACATAGATACATGTTTAGGAACAACACACACTGGGGCCTGTCATTGGGGGTCAAGGGGAGAGAGAGCATCAGGAAGAATAGCTAATGGATGCTGGGCTTAATCCTAGGTGATGGGCTGATCTGTGCTGCAGACCACCGTGACACATGTTTACCTATGTAACAAACCTGCACATTGTGCACGTGTACCCTGGAACTTAAAATAAAAGTTGAAGAGAATTTAAAAAATATTCTCTAGGATAGAGCATATGTTGAGCCACAAAACAAATCCTAACAAATTTAAGAAGCTTGAAATCATATCAAGTATCTTTTCTGACCACACTGTTATAAAATTAAAAATCAACAACAGGAAGAAAAATCGAAAATTGGTAAACAGTGACTTGACACAAAAGAATATTGAAACATAACTTACCAGAATGTATGGGATGCAAACAAAAAAGCAGTTCTAGAAGGGAAGCTGTGACCAATGCCTACATTTAGAGAAAAGAAAGATACTGGATAAACAACTTAAATTCACACCTGAAGGAAATAGAATAAAAGAACAAATTAAGCCCAAAGTTAGCATCAGGAAAGAAATAATACAGATTAGAACTGAAATAAATGAAATAGAGACTAGAAAAACAATATATAAATCAACAAAATTCAGAGATTTTTTAATTAAAAAAAAAAAAAACAAAATTGACAAAACTCCAGATAGGCTAACCAAGAAAAAGAGTGAGACTCAAATAAATAAAATGTTAAATGAAAGAAGAGAAATTACAAATTATACCACAGAAATACAAAAGATCATAATACTATGAACAAATATACACTATTAAATTGTGTAACCAAAAGAAATGAATAAATTTGTAGAAACATGAAACCTGCCGAGACTAAATCATAAAGAAATAGAAAATCTGAACTGATCAATAATGGGTAAGGAGATTGAATCAGTAATCAAAGAAACACCCAACAATGAAAACCTAGAATTTGATGGTTTTACAGGTTAACTCTACCAAGCCTTTAAAGAAGAAATACAACCTTCTCAAACTTTCCAAAAAATTAAAGAAGAAACACCTCCCAAACTCATTTACTATGCTAGCCTTACCTTGATACTTTGGTATCAAGTATTAAAGACAAAAGCTTTGCCAGAGAAGGACATTATAAGAAAAGAAAATTACAGGCCAATATCCCTGATAAACGTATATGCAAAAATCCTCAAGAAAATGCTAGCAAACCAAACTCAACAGCACATTAAAAGAATCATAAACCATGATCAAGTAGGATTTATCCATGGGGTACAAGTATGGTTCAACATACACAAATCAATAAGTGTAATATATCACATTTACAATATGTACAGTAAAAATCATATGATCATCTCAATAGATGCATAAAAATTTTTCAACACTTTTTCACGATAACAACTGTCAACAAATTAGGTATAAAACAATGTATCTCAGCATAATGAGTGGTCATATAAAACAAGCCCACAGCTAACATACTCAATAGTGAAAAGCTGAAGCTTTTCCTCTAATATCAGGAGAAAGACAAAAAAAGTCCATTTTTGCCACCTGCATTCAAGATAATACTAGAAGTCTTAGCCAGAACAATTAGGCAAAAATAAATGAATAGAAGGCATTCAAATTGGAAAGGAAGAAGTTAAGTTGTCTCTGCAAATGACATGATCTAATATATAGCAAACCCTGAAAATTCAGTAAAAACTGTCAAGCTAATAAATGAATTTGGTAAAATCGTAGATTCAATATTAAAATTCAATTTCTGAAAAGTTACAATGAGCCACCTGAAAAAGAAATTAAGAAAACAATTTCAGTTACAGTAGCATCGACGATAACAAAATATTAGGAATAATTTGAAGGAGACAAAACATCTGTACACCTAAAATTATGAGATTTTGATGAAAGAAATTGAAGAAGGCACAAATGCAAAGGTATCTCATGCTCATGGATTGAAAGAATTAATCTTGTTAAAATGTCCATACTATCCAAAGTAATCTATAAATTCATTGCAATCCTTATCAGAATTCCAATGGCATTTTTCAGAATAATAGAAAAAAATCTAAAATTTATATGGAGCCACAAAAGTCCAATAATAGCCAAAGCAATCCTCAGAAAGAAGAAAAATCTGGAGACATCACATGTACTAATTCCAAACTATATTACAAAGCTATGGTAATCAAAACATGATGGTACTGGCATAAAAACAAACTCATGGACAGATGGTATAGAATAGTGAGCCTGTAAGTAAACCCACACATATATAGTCAAAAAAGCTTTGACAAGAGCACCAAGAATACACGTTAGGAAAGATGAGTTTCTTCAATAACTAATCTTGGGAAAACTGGATAACCACATGCAAAAGAGTGAAACTGGACCCTTGTCTTACAACATATACAAATATTAACACAAAATGGATTAAATACTTAAATGAAAGATCTGAAACTCTAAAAGTCCTAGAAGAAAACATAGGGTAAACTCTTCTTGATATTGGTCTTGGCAATGGTTTCTTGGATATGACTCCCAAAGCACAAGCAACAAAAGCAAAAATAAACAAATGGGACAACAGCCACCTGAAAAGCTTCAGCACAGCAAAGGAAACAAAGTGAAAATGCAACCTACAGAACAGGAGAAAATATCTGCAAACTATATGTCTGATAATTGGTTGAAATATGTAAGGAACTCATCTAACTCAATAGTGAAAAGAAAACAAATTACCTTATTTAAAAATGGGCAAAGGACCTGAATAGACAGTTTTCCAAAGAAGACATAAAAATATCCAACAGATATATAAAAAGGTACTCAACATCATTAATTGTCAGAGAAATGCAAATGAAAATCACAATGAGATATTACTTCACGTCTCTTAGAATGGCTTTTGTTAAAAAAACAGGAGATAACAATTGTTGGCAAGTCTCTGGAGAAGCAGGGAACCCTTATATGATGTTGGTAGAAATGTAAGTTTGTAGAGCCCTGTGGAAAACAATGCAGTTTCTTCAAAGATGAAAAATAGAATTACCATAGGATCCAGAAATTCTACTTCTGGTTATATGTCCAAAGGAAATTAAATTAATATTTCAAAGATATATCTTCATCATCAGGTTGACTGCAATATTATTCACATAGGCACAATATGGAAACAACTTAAGTGTCAGCTGACAGATGAATGGATAGAAAATGTGATAGAGATAGATAGATAGAGATATATAGATGGAAAATGTCTTTTAGTCATTAAAGCAAAAAGGGAAATCCTGCCATTTGTGACAACATGGATAAACCTGGAGGGTATTATGCTAAGTGAAATAGCCAGAGACAGAAAAACAAATCCTGTGTGATCTCACTTACGTGTAGAATCTAAAAAAGTCTAACTTACAGAAGCAGAGCGTAGAATTGTGGTTCCCAGTGGCTGGGGGTTGGAAGAAATGGGGAAAGTTGGTCAGGGGTACAAACTGTCAATTATTAGATGAATAAGTTCTGGGGATCACAGCTAATGTGAATTAGCATGGGTGGTGTGTTAGCCAGAGATGTCCTGTGAAACAGAACAGAAGGGTATACATAGATATATAAAAGGAGATCTATTACAGGAATTGGCTTAGGTGGTTATGGAGGATGAAAAGTCTCATGATATGTAGTATGCAAACTGGAGAACCAGGAAAGCCTATGGTGTAATTCAGTTGGAGTCTGAAAGCCTGAGAACCAGAGAAACAGCATAACTCTCGTCCAAGGCTGAAGGCCTGAGAACCTTGTGGAGTCGTGGGTGTAAGTCCTGAAATACAGTGGCCAGAGTATGTGTAACTCTGATATCCCAGGCAGAAGAAGATGGATGTCCCAACTTTGGAAAAGATGGCTAATTTGTCCTTTTACTAATTTTTTGTTATATGGAGGCGTATCTTCTTTATTCAGTCTGTTGATTCAAATGCTAATCTCTTCCAGAAATATATCATAGACACACCCAGATAAAACATTTTACCACCTGTCTGTATATCTTGTAACCCACTCAAGTTGACGCATAAAATAAACGATGACAGGTAGTGATGAGCATGTTAATTTGATTGTAGTAATCATTACACAGTGTAAATATGTATCAAATGGCCGCACTGTACACCTTCAATATACATAATTTACACTTATCAATTAAATATTTTAAAATTAAAAATTAAAAAAAGTTAAAAAAAAAAACCACAATGAGAAAGGAATGATAAAAGGAAAGGCAGGTAAGCTGAGGCAACTGAAGGATTTTGATTATAAAGGGCTTTATATTTCAGCTGCCTTTGAAGATAAAGGAAGCCAGGATCGAAGAAATGCAGGCAAGCTTTAGAAGCTTAGATTACCCTTGGCAAAAGCCAGCAAGAAAAGGGGACCTCAGTTCTACAACTGCCAGAAACTGAATTTTGTTAACAACCTGCAAGTGCCTGGAAGTAAATTCTCTTCCAGAGCCTCCAGGAAAGAATGTAGCCCTGTCCACACCTTGATTTTAGCTTAGTAATACTCATGATGGACTCCTGACATTCAGAACTGTGAGATAATAAAACTTTTGTTGTTTTAACCATGATGTTTCTGGTAATTTGTTACATCAGCAAAAAAAAAACCCCTGTACATTAAGTTATTGATTGTATGGTTGAATATCTTTGCTCCTCCCTTTGCCTTTACATCCCTTTCTCTTTACATACTCACATTCACCTTTCCAGGCTCAGCCTAGTCACACCACAGCACAGGGATCTTCTCTGATGATTCCGGCTTAGACTGATCATTTTCTTCTCTGAATTTTCTTATGTGTACAACACACTTACTGCATTTTGTGTTGCCTTATTGCCTAATTGTGTGTCATACTTAATTACCCTGTTAATAATAATTTTGTATGCATATATTTTGTTTTCCATGTGGATTTGCAAACAGAGAATTAGGAGGACATTGGTGCTTATGAAATACTCATTGTTTGATTCATGTTTTTTAATTTTCAAAATATTTCTAACTAATCAAGTAATTCTTAGGTGATTTTTTAAAAAGAATTCCAGTATATTTTGAAACAGATTTCTGGCCTTAATTTTGTATAAAAAAGAAAAAAACAGATGCATTAAGATAAAAGGATCCTGCACGTTGCCTTTAGGACATCCAGTAAATCACCAAAAAGAAGCAAAGCATATAAAATCAAAACATACACAACCTTTTTAAAACAGCAGGTATAGCTCAAGTTCTATAACAGTAAAGCAGCTGGTGTTAGCAATGGGTAAATAATTTATATAGGACTGAGAGGAAGTTGGAAAGACATTTCAATGTCAACTTTTTAACATATAAGATTTTCAAATTAATAAATATAGCGTATTTGTGGTTGTGGCTACTAAAAATAAAATTCACTGAAAATTAAGACATAATTCTACTAATGAGTTTATTCTAGAAAACCTGACAGTTTTATATGGCATGAAAATGCATATCTTCTTTTTATTTCATTAGAAAAACATGCTGAAATATAGTATTGTTTTTTTCTTTTAAAAAAAGTAGGTCTGGCCTGGCGCTGTGGCTCACGCCTGTAGTCCCAACACTTTGGGAGGCTGAGGCGGGCAGATCACCTGAGGTCAGGAGTTCAAGACCAGCGTGGCCAACATGGTGAAAACCCGTCTCTACTTAAAAAAAAAAAAAAAATTAGCCAGGCATGATGGAAAGTGCCTGTAATCCCAGATGCTAAGGAGACTGAGGCAGGAGAATTGCTTGAACCCAGGAGGTGGAGATTGCAGTAGGTTGAGATCATGCCACTGCAATTCAGCCTGGGTGACAAGTGTGAAACTCCGTCTAAAAAAAAAAAGTAGTTCTGGTTAACGGTAGAAAAAGAATATAAGCATAATTAGGAACCTGATAATCAGAGGTTTGCTT
Organism: Homo sapiens; assembly: GCF_000001405.40. Taxonomy (NCBI): domain Eukaryota; kingdom Metazoa; phylum Chordata; class Mammalia; order Primates; family Hominidae; genus Homo; species Homo sapiens. The sequence goes on from NC_000004.12 coordinate 91,423,509, forward strand.
AGCAAAAATAGGTGAAAGAAATACTTAATATTCCTTATTTTATAAAGAACAGGCTTGAAACTAATTTCTAACATATAGCTTATGAAACCAAGAAACTTATTTTATAGGTAATGCACAAATAAGACACTTAGCCTCTAGAATTGAAAGCAATTACTGGAACTTTATTCAGAAGAGTTTCCCCCTATCTACTTATCTTACTAGCATCTCCTAATATAAATTTTAGCCTATAAAAATACTGGTCATCTCCTTCAAAGAAGTTCTAAGAAAACAAAAGATAATATATACAAATCAACCAAGCAGTGTTCACTGAGTCTCTGTATTGTGCACTGTTCCCGTCAGCTTCAGAGGAGACAGCAGGCAGAGAAATGTCATATATAAGAGAATGAGTTATGATCTGGTCACCAGAAAGCCTGCAAAATAGCTGAAGAATGAGGAAACCTATGTAAGGAAATAAAGGCAAAGAGTACATAACACTGTAAGAACTCAGCAGATCTTTTTTTTTTTTTTTTTTTTTTTTTTGAGACGGAGTCTCGCTCTGTCGCCCAGGCCGGACTGCGGACTGCAGTGGCGCAATCTCGGCTCACTGCAAGCTCCGCTTCCCGGGTTCACGCCATTCTCCTGCCTCAGCCTCCCGAGTAGCTGGGACTACAGGCGCCCGCCACCGCGCCCGGCTAATTTTTTTGTATTTTTAGTAGAGACGGGGTTTCACCTTGTTAGCCAGGATGGTCTCGATCTCCTGACCTCATGATCCACCCGCCTCGGCCTCCCAAAGTGCTGGGATTACAGGCGTGAGCCACCGCGCCCGGCCAAGAACTCAGCAGATCTTAAGAAAACTCTTAGATCTGCGGAATTTGGGTTGGTTTTTGAAATGCCCTCTCACACTTTACCTTTCTCATCCTACTCAAACCTTCAATATCTGGGTCAACAGTTATCTCAGCTCTATGGAGTAATTTTGTTATGTTCCCACACAAAATTATTCCACTGTTTTACAACCACTCTAGCTATTTCACATTTATCCACATTTCTAGCTATATGCACTTGGATAGTTACTTAAGCACTCTATGCCTCAATGTTCTCATCAGTAACATAACAGTTTCTATCTCATAGGATTATTGTATTATATGAGTTTCTATAAATTAGTTAGAACAGTGTTTGGCACATAGTAAGTGCTTGAGAACTGCTAGCTTTTAGTATAATAATGTTTTATTTTTAGGAGCCGATATTATAAAATGCAAGGTCATTAAGAGTAAAATATGCCTTATTTTTACAGAAGTAAATGTAATATCTTTCCGAGTATAGGTGATTAATAGCTATTGTTTAATTGGTGTGAGTATGTAGAAAAAGAAAATGTTTTAGGTAAGAGAAACAAGAAATTATATGTGTGGTTGTGATTAAGCTTTCATACCATAGTTCTTGTTTAATTGAATTAGCTTTTAATATTATTCCTCTCAGTAAAATGACTTTTATACACATTAATTTGACTTGAATTGGACATGTATGTTTAAATATGCCTATTTTTATAAAACTATCCTATGAATATATATGAACTAGGTGTAAGCAATGTATGGTTTATATATTTAAGAAATTAATTTGTTTCTAATAACTATATTTTGAGTTAGAAACACTAAAAGCGACAGCATGAATTTTTAGTATCCTGGCTTAAGAGAAAGAAGATAATTGACATGTTTGGGTGAACATCTTTTACCTCGTATTTTCATTTTTGCTCAATTTTAGAACTAATGGGAACTTTAAACTTTTTTATCTTGAAAAACAAAATTGAAGGAAATACTTTTGAGAAACTTTGCTGTTAGAAAGATTTTGATTTCATTCCCATCAGAATGTCATATAAATTACACAAATCAAATCTGTCGACATCCCAAGAATATTATAATTACACGTTCTTATGAATTACATGGGAATTGCACATACTGTGAAAAGCATTGTAATTGTAATTATTATGTAATATGTATTATAATTTATCCTATAGAAGTAACAAAGTCTTGTAATTAAATAAAGTAATAAATGTGTTGCTATATTACCATAATTGACAAGTAATTGATAAGTTATCTTCTTTAGGACAAAATGGTCACTAGTAAGAATGGACCCAATTCAACTTTTATCTTAAGTTAAAATACTCATTAAATTTAAGATGAGCATTGGGTATCTAAAATAATCAGTCATAGAAATAGAGTCAAAAGTTGGTTTCCATAGACTGGTAGAGAGGGAAATGTGGAGTTGCTGCTCAACAAGTATAAAGTTTCATTTATGCAAGATCAATACGTTCTAAAGATCTGCTCTACAACATTATGTTTATAGTTAACAACACTGTATTGTATACCTTACATTTTGTTGAGGATAGATCTTATGTTCAGGGTTCCTACCACAATTTTTAAAATTATACTTTAAGACTGGTATACATGTGCAGAATGTGCAGTTTTGTTACATAGGTATACACGTGCCATGGTGGTTTGCTGCACCCATCAACCCATCACCTACATTAGGTATTCCTCCTAATGTTATCCCTTCCCTAGCCCCCCACATCCCAATAGGCCCCGATGTGTGATGTTCCCCTTCCTATGTCCATGTGTTCTCATTGTTCAACTCCCACTATGAGTGAGCACATGCGGTGTTTGGTTTTCTGTTCTTGTGATAGTTTGCTGAGAATGATGGTTTCTGACTTCATCCATGTCCCTGCAAAGGACATGAACTCATCCTTTTTTATGGCTGCATAGTATTCCATGGTGTTTATGTGCCACATTTTCTTTAACCAATCTATTATTGATGGACATTTGGGTTGGTTCCAAGTCTTCGTTATTGTGAATAGTGCTGCAATAAACATACGTGCACATATGTCTTTATAGTAGATTGATTTATAATCCTTTGAGTATACACCCAGCAATGGGATTGCTGGATCAAATGGTATTTCTAGTTCTAGATCCTTGAGGAATCTCCACACTGTCTTCCACAATGGTTGAACTGATTTACATGACCACGATTTAAAAAAAAAAAGAAAAGTAGTGGATTGACTCATGAAAGGTCAAGAAACTTCAGAATGAAATTTTACACAGAAATATTCAGAATTTTAAAAAAACTTAGTCTATTGTATTTAATACAATTTCAATTTGAAACCTATATGATAAAATGTGTGCAATTTTAAGAGTATTTTTAATTGAATCCTAAATGTTTCTTGTTGACTTTTAATTTCTGATTTGTGTGTTTGCATATTTGTATGTAAATTTTGGATACTTAATAGTCTTCTAAAAACAATTTTGAAAAGTAAAACAGACTTTAAATTTATATAAAAAAATGATTCCAACTTTTAGAATGCTTACTATATGCTGGGTACTAAGCATGTTATATTTATTGAACCCTATGAGTCAGACACTCATATAAGTGATTCAGATAACTCATTTAAAGCTCACTATAATCCTATAAGTAGATGCTGTTACCATCCCCATTTTCTAGGTGAGGAGCTAGGGCACAGTATAGTAAGGTGACTGTCCTAACATCATAGAATAATGATGGATTAATGGTATTCAACTCTAGCAGCTAGTTCCAGAATCCAGGCTCTTAATCACCATGCTAACCATCTTCATTCAAATGGAAAACAGATAAGGAAGATAGAAGTTTAAGGTTGTTTTTCTGTGAATGAAGAACATCACCACCACCACATTTATTTAACAGCCTTACACACTTTAAAGTAGCACTTTTCAGATGGGACACATTGATTGCTCCAAGGGGATAGGTACAAAGTAAATAAAATTTCCCCACGGCCCATCCTGCTGTCTTATCCTGGAAAGTATTAGTCACTTTTCTCAAAGTGTGATTCATGTAATATATAACATCATGTTAGGTGCTCTTTTCAAAAGCTTACCTTTCAGTGGGATTGTATGTCAAGAATTACAAACTTGTACGATCATGAGTAAGTTACCCAGCCATTCAAGGATTCAGTTTTTCTATCTGTAAACAATCCCATTAGACTGAATGAGTTCTAAGCATATTTTAGATGAGTTTAGGATATACAATGGAGAAAAAAATGCAGGCTTTGTAGGCAGAGGGCCAGCTTCACTGATGAAGTTACCAATTTACTGAATCTCTACTTTTACCACTGTGAAACTGAGATGAAAATAATCTATTTTACAGAATGGTTGTGAGGATTAACTTAACTAGCTAGTGCACATTCAAGAAATATTAGCCATTATTCTTATAAAATAATATAATAATTGTATTTACTATAAAATTTGACCCAATTGCAAATGACTGTTTGTCATGGAGTTTATTACTAAGGGAACTTAATTTAAAATAACTGACATGGAATTTTAAATGATCTGGTGAGATTTAAATGATTCTGTTAGTATGCTTTTAATATGCTTGATTAAATGTCTTTGTGTATAAATATAAATACCATGCTTAGTCCAGGGATATAGCTTTTATTTAGCTCCTAATACAAAGTCCCAATTGCTCTGCAGGTGATTCACATCTTGAAAGGGTATAAAAGTGATTCTACACTCATTTTCAATCCAACTTGAATTTCTGTTTCATTATTTTCTAATGAAATTGAATTTGGTAATACTTGACACCTGATAAGATTTTGTTTATCTTGTTATAAAAAATAGACTAATAAAACAGATTTCCACAGCGCTCAATCTTGGCTATAGCATTTTACAGCCACATAAAAATTATCATCCATCCACTTACAATATTCTATCTTTATGGCTTTTCATAAGCAATATTGCTTTCAGTTTGGTATTGAATTTTAAGAAACTAAAATATAATTGTACACATTGTATATTTCTGTAATGAAATTGAGTTAAACACAATTGTCTAGATTCCTTTGTCACTTTTTATGGACAACATTTATTCAAAATGCAGTGGACATGTGAACAAATTTGGGTCTTTATAATATGGCAAATGCAGTTGCCTTGCTTTTGGAAAATAAAGCATCCTAAAATTGGCATCAATTACTAATTAGAATGTTAGAGTTTAAAATAAGACTATGATCTTCAGAGAGTGATTGGACTACTGAGATCGTAGTACATCATCACTGGATGGTCTAGGTGCAGTCCCAACTTGATTTTCTTTCTCTACTCCCATTTTCAGATTTTTCATCAGACTCTCTAGTTGTTTATTTCCAACCACCTTTCATGCCCTGTGTGTAATTATGAATAATATATTCTTTTAAGTATTCGTAGGTACAGTTTCTGTTCCTTACTGTTTTCACTTGTTTCTTAGATTTATAGGTATTGATAATGTGTAATTCTCTCCTTTTGATACATTATTGCATTTTAGTATTGTTTGAAATTCAATCGAATGAAAAGTACTTTATTAATCATCACTCTATTGTCTGTCTATTATTTTTCAAAATCTTTAGAAATGCAAACAATGCTGCAATCAACATCTTCCTGTTTATATCTATTTATATGTGCCAAGTTTCCTGCAGGTTTCTGAGGTCTTCCTTATGCTTATCAATTATGAAAAGATTAAAGGCAAAAGGATAGTTCTGAGGGAAACATATTACCCCTCCAAGGCAGGAATAAATACAGCATTGATTTATCTTGTATCAAATTAAAGAGTTTTTGATAATATTAGTTCTTCTATTATCATAATACTTTTTCTTTTCAAGCTATTATTTCATTTTTATGCCATCACAGAATAAAATGTCAATATTATGTACTAATCCTACCTTATTTCTCCCTTAAGAATTTTAGATTCTGTTTTGGTCTTTCAGAGACATAATTTCAGATGTTCTTGACTGATCGTTTTTGATATCTATATCTATTTCTCTTTCAATTTAAGTACGTTCAAATGCATCTTGCAGAATAATATATGATGGAACAATAATCTTTTTTAAAGAAAACAGGTACTACACTATAATATTTAGCTATTAACCTTATTTGTTTTTAAAAGTACATAAAAAGTCACTTGACACCAAAATAAACATTTGTTAAGAACCCATTACGTGCCCAATTCTGTTACCATTTTATTATTTATTCACCTAAATATACTATTTATTTAGATCAATACAGTATCACAGTGTAGATTAAGAAAGCAAGAGTGAGAAAGTAAAAATCTGTAAACATTTTGAAGCAAACATATGAAAGCAAAATTCTTAATTACTAGGTTTTTGTTGATTTTTGTTAATAAGGCCACAAACTTTACTGATATTTATGCACACGATAAATATACTTAAATTAACCTGTCTTACACTCATGTTGTCATGAGTAAAATCTCAAGCATAAGAATTTTATTATATTTTCATCTGAAAATATATTAAGTACTATTGAATGTAATTCTATTGTCTATAATCTCAGTTACGTGTTTTTTTCCTTTAGCATGCTTTAAAAGTTAATTAAGATAAGTATATTCTATACTAGAAAATTTTTATCATTATAAAACTATCTATATTAAACAGACTAGATAGATCTGAGACATACAACCTATGCCTCATTTCTATATTTTCACTTCACTAGCAATGTGTTTATAGCATTGTGTAACACTTTAAAAAATTTTTAGCTTTCATTGTTTATATCTCATGTATTTTACAAATACATCTTATGTTGGAAAATAATTGAGACTAGAAAGACATAATTTATCATTCAAATCCTCTTAAAATATCTTGGTTGGGATACTTGGTATATATGTTCAGAACATAAGTATTTTCACATAAAATTATATACAATAAGCATTCAAAAGAATAGGGGGAAAAAAGCTATTACAATGGTATACCATAGTATTTCAGTCATTGTGTTTAAACTTGTGCCTGTGTGTGAATATAGTGGACATTTTTCTCTTAGAAATATTGTAAAAACAGTTTTTATTGCATAGGGTATGTGTATTATTTGAAACGTATTAGATTTTAAATTTACTTTACTACAGACTATGTGAAATCTGAATATTGACTTCATTCTAACCTGTGCTGACTTCCCAGTTAAACTATTGATTATTTTGCTTACAATGCACCAGTATGCACATGTGTGCATGGGCACAACTATTTTTACTTTGTTAAGATTTTATTTGCTGATACATAAAGGTAACAAGCACCCAATTTATTGCTGAAAGAATATTAAAGGTGTTATTTAGTTCTCAATTGACTTACCTTTGAAATATGATTGTTTTCCAAAAAAAGAAAACATTATGAAATGGACACATGGCAAAACAAAGAATATCATTCGGCTAAGTTGAAAACCATTTTAGAAATGTTCGATTATATGAATGTACTACATATTTCTTTTCCTACTTCTTTAGCTTCTCAAATGAATGCAAACTCTGATTCTTTTCTACACTTTTATGAGTGTGCTTTTGTACATCTACATACCACGACTTTTTAGTCAAGTGCTAAACCTATTAATGATGGAAATCCTCTAGCGTTTTATTGGTTCTTTCATTCATGTAAACAATCTGTTTTATTGTATATAAGCCTTTTGTAAATAAAAATTTGGCTAGCTTGGCCGGGCGTGGTGGCTCACGCCTGTAATCCCAGCATTTTGGGAGGCGGAGGTGGGCGGATAACGAGGTCAGGAGTTCAAGACCATCCTGGCTAACACGGTGAAACCCCGTCTCTACTAAAAATACAAAAAGTTAGCTGGGCGTGGTGGCGGGCGCCTGTAGTCCCAGCTACTCGGCAGGCTGAGGCAGGAGAATGGCGTGAACCCGGGAGGCGGAACTTAGAGTGAGCGGAGATGGCGCCAATGCACTCCAGTCTGGGCAACAGAGCGAGACTCCATCTCAAAAACAGCAACAACAACAACAACAAAAACAAACATAAAAAATTGGCTAGCTAATACATTCACAGAGCTCAAATTTGGAAAAATAAAACTATAAACTGTGAAATGCTTTTCCTTCACTATTTTTTCCCAGCTACCCAGTTAATTCAATTTTAGAAACTATTGTTATTAGTTTTCTAGGTATACTTCTAAAGAGAGTGTTTTCACACATATACATACACAGCATTTCTTCCCTTTTTTTTCGGGGGGCGGTGGATGGGGTTTCGCTCTTGTTGCCCGGGCTGGAGTGCAATGGTGCGATCTTGGCTCACGGCAACCTCTGCCTCCCAGGTTCAAGCGATTCTCCTGCCTCAGCCTCCCGAGTAGCTGGGATTACGGGCATGCACCACCACGCCAGGCTAATTTTGTATTTTTAGTAGAAATGGGGTTTCCCCATGTTGGTCAGGCTGTTCTCAAACTCCCGACCTCAGGTGATCTGTCTGCCTCGGCCTCCCAAAGTGCTGGAATTACAGGCATGAGTCACCAAGCCCGGCCTCTTCCCATTTTTATCTAAATCGAAGCATTCTATACAATTGTCTAACACCTTGTTATTTTAATTAAGGATATATGTTTTAGATTTTTCTAAATTAGTTCACAGGTTTTTTTTTTCTTTATTGTTGGTTCACTGCTGCATACTTTTTCCATTGTATAGATGCAACATAATTGATATGGTTTGGCTCTGTGTCCCCACCAAATCTCATCTCGAATTATAATCCTCACTTGTCGAGGGAGGGACCTGGTGGGAGGTGATTGGATCACCAGGGCAGTTCCCCTATGCTGTTCTCATGATAGTGAGGGAGTTCTGGTGAGATCTGGTGGTTTCAAAGTTTGTAGCAGTTCCCCATCCACCCCCTCTTGCTGCCTTGTAAAGAAGGTTCTTGCTTCTTCTTTGCCTTCCTCTGTGATTGTAAGTTTCCTGAGGCCTCCCTAGCTGTGTGGAACTGTGAGTCAATTAAACCTCTTTTCTCTATAGATTATCCAGTCTCAATTAGTTCTTTATAGCAGTGTGATAATGGACTACTACAATAATTAATTTAATTAAACACCTATTTATAGACATCTGTGAATAGAATTATAGTACAAATAATACTATAATGAATAACTCTCGATGTGTGTATGTATTTCTATAGAATAAATTCCATGAAGAGGATTTGCATATTCAATAAATATATAGATTTATTTCAATAGATACAGACAACGTTTTCTGTATCAGGCTTAAAACAATTTACAATGTACTAGCATTTTATGAGAGTGTCTGTTTCCTATACCCTCATCTAGAGAATATGCTATCAAACTTCCATACTTTTATTAACTGGTAGGTGAAAAAAATATCTCTATGTAGATTTATTTGCACCTCTCTAATAATAAATGAAATTGAGCTTATTTTATAATCATAAAAGGGACATATATTCCTTTATGTGAACTTTTCTTTTTTACTACTGGATTTTTGTATTGTGTTACTGATTTTTAGGAGGTTTATACATTAGGGAAATTAGCTCTTTGTAGTAATAGAACTTCTATATTTCCCGTTTTAAAAAAGTTGATTGTAGTCATTTTTAATTTTTATGTTATTTAAGTTATATTTTGTTTTATTAAGTTTTGGTTTTGGAAAGGCTTCTCCCACTCTGATAGTGTGAAAGTAAAGAAATGTGTATTATGGATCTAATACGAGTATGTATGAGGTACTATATCAGTTGCTATTATCAATACCTCCCTGCCCAGAGAGGTATTTGGGGGTAATCAATGTGAAAATGACTGAGAAATACTAGGTTGAATAAAATAAGTGATATAATAATATATAAGCCACATTAATTTACTCTTTATTATATTGATTACCAGTTATAATTTTTAGTTATATGAATGAAAATTTGATTAGCAATTCTTCTCTTTCAGACCCCATTAAGCTCCGTGAGATTTAGAAAGTATAGTCGTGTGCCATGTAACAACATTTCAGTCAATGACAAACTATATATTGTCTGTGGGTGGTCCTGTAAAATTATAATGGGGCTGAAAAATTCTTATCACCTAGTGACACTGTGGCCATCATAACGTCATAGCACAACTGCTTTATTTCTTAATAAAGTGTAGCCTAAGCGTACAGTGTTTATAAAGTCTACAGTAGTGTACAGTAATTTCCTAGGCCTTCACCGTCACTCAGCACTCATTCACTGACTCGCCCAAGGCAGCTTCCAGTACTGCAACCTCCAAACAAGGCAAATGCCCTCCCTACACAGGTGTACCATTTTTTATCTTTCATTCTCTCATTTTTAGTTTCCTTTTTAAAATATAGACATATGTTTGGATACATAAACATTTACCATGTGTTACAGTATTCTGTTAAAATTGCCTGCAGTATTCAGTACAATAACTGCTGTACGGGTTTGTAGCCTAGAAGCAATGGGCTGTACCATAGAGCATAGGTATGCCACAGTCCATCTAGGTTTGTGTAAGTACATCTTATGATATGTGCACAACAATGAAATCACCTAACCACGTGTCTGTGTTGTTAGATGATGCATGACTGTATGTCTGTCTTGTTTATCAAAGTGTCCCAAGAGTCTAGCTCAGAGCCTAGAAAATGGTAGACACTTAAGCATCTACTTACTAAATAATAAATCAGTGTTTATCACAGTACCTCACACTGTAAACTAAGTCTACCTGGAAAGACACATGTTTAAGCAAATAATCATAGTATAGGTTCTGAGAAGTAACACTAATAGGGACAAGGCATTGAGACCGCTTGAGGAAGGAGCTCCTGACTCTGTCTGAGGGCGACTTCTGGAGGGAGACTTATCAACTGAGCACACAGTCTTGAATTATGGTACTCCGGCTGCACAAAATATTCAGAAGGAATAAAAGTCATAGCAGAAAAAGGGAAGCAAACTATTGTAATGGTTTGTTTTAACTGCTACAGACTTTTTGTTTGTTTTTTTTTTGTTTATTTGTGGAATCGCTGGTATTTTTGGTAGTAGGGGAATGTTAAAATAGGGGTACTTAATTTAGGAATATCTTGTGGAATAGGTTATGTTCGTAATTAGAATATGGAAAAACGGCGTAGCAACTCAATAGGCAGAAAATTGATGGGAAGGATCCAGGTCTAAAAGAACACGTTCAAAGTTACAGAGAAGCCATAAAATACTTTGTTGTTTTTTTAAAAAACAGATATTATTTAGAACAGCAGAAGCCTAACAAAAGCAATACGGGTAAAAAATGAGATAGGGTGTCCTCTTAGAGAAGTTTAAAAATGAAAGGGTGTAAGCTTACCAATTCAATATCTTAATAAAATAATTTTTTGTTTGTTTTTCACTCCTGAATGTAATTATGCATAGTAAGAATATCCACAGCTTTCCATAACTGGTATGAAGATTGATGGCAGTTTTTTCTGTTTTATCTATTTTATCTCATAAATATTTCTCAATAGCAGTTATTTTACAGAATATAATAGAGACTAAGAGTATTGACCTAAATCTGAACTTGCCATACATATTCCTATGATACAAATGAGCCAAGGATTTTCTTTACAACTTGTCCTCTTAGGTCAGGAGCCATTCCAAGATTCCCCTTGGCTCAGGGTCCTGGTGAAAGACATAGTCCAATGATGATGACATCAGATAGTTTTATGAGTCTATATTCTTTACTTTTTAGTTTGAAATTTATTTAGAGCACTTTTCAAAATAGTTTCTTCCTAACATGGCCGTAGAGTTCTGTTGTTGTTGTTGTTGTTTGTTTGTTTTGTCTATGTTCCATGATGTTTAATGAATTTACCTGCTGGCATGTACATGGGCAATATCAAGGTTTGGTGGCAGCAGCTGCACATTTTCTTGTTAGTGCAACAATGCTTATCTAACACTTTCCATGGTATTTCATGTATAACAAAAGTGTCTAGGCTGGGTGTAGTGGCCCATGCCTGTGATCCCAAGCACTTTGGGAGGCTGAGGTGGGAGAATCACTTGAGTCCTGGAGTTTGAGACCAGCGTAGACAAGATGATGAAACTCTGTCTCTACAAAAAATATTTAAAAGTTAGCTGGGAGTGGTGGCTGTGTCTGTACTCTCAGCTACTCTGGAGGCTGAGGTGGGAGGATAACCTGAGCCCATGAGATCACGGCTGCAGAGATTCGTGATCATGCCACTGCACTCCAGCCTGAGTGACAGAGTGAGACCCTGTCTCAAAAAAAAAAAAATGTATCTAAACATTTAGAAAATTCAAAATGCAAACTTGCTTTAAATACTCAAAAATAAATTGCTTTCTCTTACTTTTCATCGTCTGAGAGTTAGAAGATTGTTAGAAAAGATTTCGGCACCATCTATCTCTCATGCTTCTTAAAGCATGTGTAGTATTAAATTACAGGAATTTATATGTAGTTCTTTTATATATTTTTTGAAAACTTATGAACTACTGGGAAGTATTTATGCTAACAATTTTAATTAGACACAAGAAAGTAAATTAAGGTATTTATACCATTTAAAGCTTTATTTGAGATATCTCCACTAATTATTTTGGCATGCTTTCATGTAAAACAATTCAACTTTCATTTGGAGTTCATAGTTTTGAGCCCAGCCTATAATTTGCTTTTTGTCTTACTTTCATTTGAATCAAACCACTATGTTGTACAAAACTGTGCTTATGTGATTACAACTGGAACGCAACATCATAAGTAACTGACATAAACATGCCAAAGCAGTAGAAGAAAGCTCCTTGGATTAGCTGTATTTGAGCAATACTCTTTTTTCTGGTCTCTGCCCATCCATTTGTGGCTCCCTGCAATCAATTTTCATCATTGAAGGTAGATTAATTATATCACTGTAGTTACATTATATTATTAGGTTGGTTCAAACATTATTGTGGTTTTTGCTGTTACTTTCGATGTCAAGAACCACAATTACTTTTGCACCAACCTAATAAGACTTTCTATTTTATGCCATCTTCCCTCTTACTTTCTGTGATCTAGGCACATTGGATTTATTTCAGTTCCTCAAAGTTTTGTTTCTGTTTGGTAGGATTTTAAATTAAGGTAATATATATAAATCACACAGAGTACTACATGGCATATAGCAAGCTTTCAATAAATGTACTGATATTTATGATGTTTTGCCTAAGAACTTATGAAGAAAGGAAATAGGAATCACTTAAACACCAAGATCAAGTAAATTTTTCTCCAAAAATTTTCTCTAATCAATCTTGCCTCAATGAGAGTTAATTTTTGAAGGTGATAGAAAGTATGAGAAAGTCGATGACTTCAGTTTTGAATTATTAGAGATTCTGCTTCAAGACATAGAAATGGAGATTTATTTAGGCAGCTACATAGATTTACAGTATACATAATGCTGCCAATGTTAATAATCGTGTGGGGAGGTAAATGAGAAAATGAGACTTAGACAGGTTAAATTATTTCTTTAAGATCAAGGCTATTTCTGCTACACCATGTTGTCTTCCAATAGTGAAACCATGAGTGGAGCTCAGCTAGGGAAACAGAGAGATAGCCAAGCCACAGATGGATCTAAATTAGGAAAAGAAGTCAAAGCCACAGAGAAAGTCTAGTCAGAGACAGAGCAGGACAAAAAGCACAATGTCTCAAACATCCAGAAAAGAATTTCCAAAAGTATTTATTGAAAATAACCAAAAGCCAATTAAGATAAAGTTGTATGAAAATGTCCTTGGTGCCTAGGGACTTCCTACTTTCATGTGTTACCTGTCTTCCTGGCAATTGCACATAAGGTGTGAGTGAAGGCCTGCTGAGATCATATTTGCCTGCTAAGTCAGGTGGGTAACACATGAATTATCAAAGCCCTGGAACTAAAGAAACTGAAGAGGCCATGCTTAGTGTCCTTGCCTTTGCATTTAAATTAAGATTCAGACTTTCAGAGAGAAAGGAAAATATGAGAAATAAATGTCAGATTAACTGGGCCAAAAATAAAACTTGTATTTTTGGTGCATATCTAAAGATATCAGAATACTAGGGTATTGACTAGGGATTAAGTATATCTCATACCCTGGGGGAAGCATGTTTGTTCAGAAGGCAGTTTATTTGACCATAAAGGAATTTGAACTGTTGTGGGAGGAAAACATGTATGGACTACACATAATGTCATAAAACAAGAAAAATATTGAGGCGCTATTCTGCAATTTGCAGCTACGTAATTATAGATCAAACAGCTCTAATAATAAATGGACCTCCAGAGCCTCACGATCTCAGAATGGATGTTTAAAATAATTAATATGAGGGCAGCCAAGATGGCCGAATAGGAACAGCTCCGGTCTACAGCTCCCAGCGTGAGCGATGCAGAAGACGGGTGATTTCTGCATTTCCATCTGAGGTACTGGGTTCATCTCACTAGGGAGTGCCAGACAGTGGGCGCAGGACAGTGGGTGCAGCGCACCCTGCGCCAGCCGAAGCAGGGCGAGGCATTGCCTCACTCAGGAAGCGCAAGGGGTCAGGGAGTTCCCTTCCCTAGTCAAAGAAAGGGGTGACAGATGGCACCTGGAAAATCGGGTCACTCCCACCCTAATACTCCGCTTTTACAAAGGGCTTAAAAAATGGCACACCAGGAGATTATATCTCGCACCTGGTTTGGAGGGTCCTACGCCCACAGAGTCTTGCTGATTGCTAGCACAGCAGTCTGAGATCAAACTGCAAGGCAGCAGCGAGGCAGGGGGAGGGGCGCCCGCCATTGCCCAGGCTTGCTTAGGTAAACAAAGCAGCCAGGAAGCTCGAACTGGGTGGAGCCCACCACAGCTCAAGGAGGCCTGCCTGCCTCTGTAGGCTCCACCTCTGGGGGCAGGGCACAGACAAACAAAAAGACAGCAGTAACCTCTGCAGACTTAAATGTCCCTGTCTGACAGCTTTGAAGAGAGCAGTGGTTCTCCCAGCACACAGCCGGAGATCTGAGAATGGGCAGACTACCTCCTCAAGTGGGTCCCTGACCCCTGACCCCTGAGCAGCCTAACTGGGAGGCACCCCCCAGTAGGGGCAGACTGACACCTCACACGGCCGGGTACTCTTCTGAGACAAAACTTCTAGAGGAATGATCAGACAGCAGCATTCGCGGTTCATGAAAATCTGCGGTTCTGCAGCCACCACTGCTGTCACCCAGGCAAACAGGGTCTGGAGTGGACCTCTAGCAAACTCCAACAGACCTGCAGCTGAGGGTCCTGTCTGTTAGAAGGAAAACTAACAAACAGAAAGGACATCCACACCAAAAACCCATCTGTACATCACCATCATCAAAGACCAAAAGTAGATAAAACCACAAAGATGGGGAAAAAACAGAGCAGAAAAACTGGATACTCTAAAAAGCAGAGCGCCTCTCCTCCTCCAAAGGAACATAATTCATCACCAGCAACGGAACAAAGCTGGATGGAGAATGACTTTGACAAGTTGAGAGAAGAAGGCTTCAGATGATCAAACTACTCTGAGCTACAGGAGGAAATTCAAACCAAAGACAAAGAAGTAAAACTTTCAAAAAAATTTAGACAAATGTATAACTAGAATAACCAATACAGAGAAGTGCTTAAAGGAGCTGATGGAGCTGAACACCAAGGCTCGAGAACTACGTGAAGAATGCAGAAGGCTCAGGAGCCAATGCGATCAACTGGAAGAAAGGGTATCAGTGATGGAAGATGAAATGAACGAAATGAAGCAAGAAGGGAAGTTTAGAGAAAAAAGAATAAAAAGAAATGAACAAATCCTCCAAGAAATATGGGACTATGTGAAAGGACCAAACCTATGTCTCATTGGTGTACCTGAAAGTGACGGGGAGAATGGAACCAAGTTGGAAAACACTCTGCAGGATATTATCCAGGAGAACTTCCCCAATCTAGCAAGGCACGCCAACATTCAAATTCAGGAAATACAGAGAACGCCACAAAGATACTCCTCGAGAAGAGCAACTCCAAGACACATAATTGTCAGATTCACCAAAGTTGAAATGAAGGAAAAAATGTTAAGGGCAGCCAGAGAGAAAGGTCGGGTTACCCCCAAAGGGAAGCCCATCAGACTAACAGCGGATCTCTCGGCAGAAACTCTACAAGCCAGAAGAGAGTGGGGGCCAATATTCAACATTCTTAAAGAAAAGAATTTTCAACCCAGAATTTCATATCCAACCAAACTAAGCTTCATAAGTGCAAGAGAAATAAAATCCTTTACAGACAAGCAAATGCTGAGAGACTTTGTCACCACCAGGCCTGCCCTAAAAGAGCTCCTGAAGGAAGCACTAAACATGGAAAGGAACAACCAGTACCAGCCACTGCAAAATCACGCCAAATTGTAAAGACCATCGAGACTAGGAAGAAACTGCATCAACTAACAAGCAAAATAACCAGGATCAAATTCACACATAACAATATTAACTTTAAATGTAAAGGGACTAAATGCTCCAATTAAAAGACACAGACTGGCAAATTGGATAAAGAGTCAAGACCCATCAGTGTGCTGTATTCAGGAAACCCATCTCACGTGCAGAGACACACATAGGCTCAAAATAAAAGGATGGAGGAAGATCTACCAAGCAAATGGAAAACAAAAAAAAGGCAGGGGTTGCAATCCTAGTCTTGGATAAAACAGACTTTAAACCAACAAAGATCAAAAGAGACAAAGAAGGCCATTACATAATGGTAAAGGGATCACTACAACAAGAAGAACTAACTATCCTAAATATATATGCACCCAATACAGGAGCACCCAGATTCATAAAGCAAGTCCTGAGTGACCTACAGAGAGACTTAGACTCCCACGCAATAATAATGGGAGATTTTAACACCCCACTGTCAACATTAGACAGATCAACGAGACAGAAAGTTAACAAGGATACCCAGGAATTGAACTCAGCTCTGCACCAAGTGGACCTAATAGACATCTACAGAACTCTCCACCCCAAATCAACAGAATATACATTTTTTTCAGCAGCACACCATGCCTATTCCAAAATAGACCACATAGTTGGAGGTAAAACTCTCCTCAGCAAACATAAAAGAACAGAAATTAGAACAAACTGTCTCTCAGACCACAGTGCAATCAAACTAGAACTGAGGATTAAGAAACTCACTCAAAACCGCTCAACTACATGGAAACTGAACAATCTGCTCCTGAATGACTACTGGGTACGTAACGAAATGAAGGCAGAAATAAAGATGTTCTTTGAAACCAATGAGAACAAAGAAAGATACAACATACCAGAATCTCTGGGACACGTTCAAAGCAGTGTGTAGAGGGAAATTTATAGCACTAAATGCCCACAAGAGAAAGCAGGAAATATCTAAAATCGACAGCCTAACATCACAATTAAAAGAACTAGAGAAGCAACAGCAAACACATTCAAAAGCTAGGAGAAGGCAAGAAATAACTAAAATCAGAGCAGAACTGAAGGAAATAGAGACACAAAAAACCCTTCAAAAAATTAATGAATCCAGGAGCTGTTTTTTTGAAAGGATCAACAACATTGATAGACCACTAGCAAGACTAATAAAGAAGAAAAGAGAGAAGAATCAAATAGATGCAATAAAAAATGATAAAGGGCATATCACCACCAATCCCACAGAAATACAAACTACCATCAGACAATACTACAAACACCTCTATGCAAGTAAACTAGAAAATCTAGAAGAAATGGATAAATTCCTCGACACATACACCCTCCCAAGACTAAACCAGGAAGAAGTTGAATCTCTGAATAGACCAATAACAGGATCTGAAATTGTGGCAATAATCAATAGCTTACCAACCAAAAAGAGTCCAGGACCAGATGGATTCACAGCCGAATTCTACCAGAGGTACAAGGAGGAACTGGTACCATTCCTTCTGAAACTATTCCAATCAATAGAAAAAGAGGGAATCCTCCCTAACTCATTTTATGAGGCCAGGATCATCCTTATACCAAAGCCAGGCAGAGACACAACCAAAAAAGAGAGTTTTAGACCAATATCCTTGATGAACATTGATACAAAAATCCTCAATAAAATACTGGCAAACCGAATCCAGCAGCACATCAAAAAGCTTATCCACCATGATCAAGTGGGCTTCATCCCTGGGATGCAAGGCTGGTTCAATATACACAAAACAATAAATGTAACCCAGCATATAAACAGAACCAAAGACAAAAACCACATGATTATCTCAATAGATGCAGAAAAGGCCTTTGACAAAATTCAACAACCCTTCATGCTAAAAATTCTCAATAAATTAGGTATTGATGGGACATAACTCAAAATAATAAGAGCTATCTATGACAAACTCACAGCCAATATCATACTGAATGGGCAAAAACTGGAAGCATTCCCTTTGAAAACTGGCACAAGACAGGGATGCCTTCTCTCACCACTCCTATTCCACATAGTGTTGGAAGTTCTGGTCAGGGCAGTTAGGCAGGAGAAGGAAATAAAGGGTATTCAATTAGGAAAAGAGGAAGTCAAATTGTCCCTGTTTGCAGATGACATGACTGTATATCTAGAAAACCCCATTGTCTCAGCCCAAAATCTCCTTAAGCTGATAAGCAACTTCAGCAAAGTCTCAGGATACAAAATCAATGTGCAAAAATCACAAGCATTCTTATACACCAATAACAGACACACAGAGTGCCAAATTATGAGTGAGCTCCCATTCACAATTGCTTCAAAGAGAATAAAATACCTAGGAATCCAACTTACAAGGGATGTGAAGGACCTCTTCAAGGAGAACTACAAACCACTGCTCAAGGAAATAAAAGAGAATACAAACAAATGGAAGAACATTCCATGCTCATGGATAGGAAGAATCAATATCATGAAAATGACCATACTGCCCAAGGTAATTTATAGATTCAATGCCATCCCCATCAAGCTACCAATGACTTTCTTCACAGAATTGGAAAAAACTACTTTAAAGTTCATATGGAACCAAAAAAGAGCCCACATCGCCAAGTCAATCCTAAGCCAAAAGAACAAAGCTGGAGGCATCACGCTACCTGACTTCAAACTATTCTACAAGGCTACGGTAACCAAAACAGCATGGTACTGGTACCAAAACAGAGATATAGATCAATGGAACAGAACAGAGCCCTCAGAAATAATGCCGCATATCTACCACCATCTGATCTTTGACAAACCTGACAAAAACAAGCAATGGGGAAAGGATTCGCTATTTAATAAATGGTGCTGGGAAAACTGGCTAGCCATATGTAGAAAGCTGAAACTGGATGCCTTCCTTACACCTTATACAAAAATTAATTCAAGATGGATTAAAGACTTAAACGTTAGACCTAAAACCATAAAAACCCTAGAAGAAAACCTAGGCATTACCATTCAGGACATAGGCATGGGCAAGGACTTCATGTCTAAAACACCAAAAGCAATGGCAACAAAAGCCAAAATTGACAAATGGGATCTAATTAAACTAAAGAGCTTCTGCACAGCAAAAGAAACTACCATCAGAGTGAACAGGCAACCTACAAAATGGGAGAAAATTTTCGCAACCTACCCATCTGACAAAGGGCTAATATCCAGAATCTACAATGAACTCAAACAAATTTACAAGAAAAAAACAAACAACCCCATCAAAAAGTGGGCAAAGGACATGAACAGACACTTCTAAAAAGAAGACATTTATGCAGCCAAAAAACACATGAAAAACTGCTCACCATCACTGGCCGTCAGAGAAATGCAAATCAAAACCGCAGTGAGATACCATCTCACACCAGTTAGAATGGCAATCATTAAAAAGTCAGGAAACAACAGGTGCTGGAGAGGATGTGGAGAAACAGGAACACTTTTACACTGTTGGTGGGACTGTAAACTATTTCAACCATTGTGGAAGTCAGTGTGGTGATTCCTCAGGGATCTAGAACTAGAAATACCATTTGACCCAGCCATCCCATTACTGGGTATATACCCAAAGGACTATAAATCATGCTGCTATAAAGACACATGCACACATATGTTTATTGCGGCACTATTCATAATAGCAAAGACTTGGAACCAACCCAAATGTCCAACAGTGATAGACTGGATTAAGAAAATGTGGCACATATACACCATGGAATACTATGCAGCCATAAAAAATGATGAGTTCATGTGCTTTGTAGAGACATGGATGAAACTGGAAATCATCATTCTCAGTAAACTTTGAAACTGGAAATCATCATTCTCAGTAAACTATCGCAAGGACAAAAAACCAAACACTGCATGTTCTCACTCATATGTGGGAATTGAACAATGAGAACACATGGACACAGGAAGGGGAACATCACACTCTGGGGACTGTTGTGGGGTGGGGGGAGGGGGAGGGATAGCATTAGGAGATATACCTAATGCTAAATGATGAGTTAATGGGTGCAGCACACCAGCATGGCACATGTATACATATGTAACTAACCTTCACATTGTGCACGTGTACCCTAAAACTTAAAGTATAATAATAATAAAATAATAATAAAATAAAAGAAAATAATATTAGCGATCAGAAAAAAATTAAGTATAGAGAAAACTATATGTATATATATATAAATATGTATTATATAATATATATAATTCATTTCAGATAAAAAGAAAAATGGGATTTTTATTCACACTTGATTAGATAACCATCCAATTATATAGATATTTAACAATTCAGAATAATTTATTTGTCCAAATACTTGAAGAAGTGTATAGTGGAATTCTTCCTAAAATTAGTAAGAATAAACTTAATAATACCCTTATTGAATCTGAGGAGAGCTACTTACTGAAATTATATGTCCTGGCTTCAGAATGGATTTCCAAGGAGAAGAAAACAAAAGAATTGCTTGTGATACATTTTGTCTCATTCAACTTTTATTAGGTTTTTTCAATTAATGTATACATATAATACACAGGAATATTATTTAATGGTATGATTTATTGATGGGGTGCGATCACATATACTTAGATATTTTCCTTAGTCTTCAAATGGCATCTTTTCTGTCACTAGAGTTAAAAATAAAAACCTGAGAACATGAGAATCTGAGTATTCAACAATGTGAAAAGCTTGGTAGCCACTTAGAACAAGGAGCATAAGCTAAATTATTTAATTGTCCAGTAGAGCATATTCTTTGATATAAACTTACTACTGCATATTTTATACAAGTTTTCTAAAATAAAATGTCTAATGATGTAATCATCAATAATAGGAAAGCAAAGTGATGCAAGATTCACGAACACACTGAGCACAAATCATTTTTTTTAAAGTGCCAATTCTTTTGCTTTTTTTTTGAGACAGAGTCTCCCTCTATCACCCAGGCTGGAGTGCAATGGCACCATCTCGGCTCACTGCAACTTCCACCTCCTGGGTTCAAGCGATCCTCCTGCCTCGGCCTCCTGAGTAGCTGGGATTACAGGCGCCCACCACCACACCTGGTTAATTTTTGCATTTTTAGTAGAGATGAAGTTTCACCATGTTGGCCAGGCTGGTCTCAAACTCCTGACCTCAGGTGACCAGCCCACCTTGGCCTCCCAAAGTGCTGGGATCACAGGTGTTAACCACCACACCCAGCCTCTTGCTTCTTCAAGCTAATGGACCACTGTGAGTGAAATGTCAGATGATGGTGAAAACGTTTATATATTTGTAGTTTGTTGTCCTTGCTTGCTTTAATCAGTAGTAGCTCTCAATTTATTGGTGAGGTCAATTACTAAAATTCAGTGGCCTTCCTCACACTATGGCTAAACATTCCATTCACTTCAGTGTGCTGTGCTTCAGGATGTACTTTGGTATAAATCCTGCTATTACAGGAAAGAGAGTGTGTTGTTAAAAGCAAAGATACAAATGTGTCTACATTATACTGTAAAGATGTTCCTGAAAATGTGAGTATAAATTCTTTAAAAACTATTTTTTCCCTCATTTGCTTCATACTTGGTCTAGGGCTTTTCTGCCTCTGAGGTAACTTTTAGAAGATAATAACAATCTCCCCTTTGCTTCAACACAAAATAATTCCTGTAGGGCTTTTCTTGCCTGCTGCTGTGCAAAACCCTTTCAAGAATTATTTTATGACTTGAAAATTTTAAGATATTTCATCTATTTTTATTATTTTATTATATGGTGGTATTGCTATGAATTTTACTTGTATTTTGCAACAGTTTTTGTATTGGGAGATAAAAAGAGAGATATTTGGCCAACTATAGTAAGAAATAGTAATTCCTTTTTTTTTTTTTTTCTCATTTTAGCCATCTTTTCCTCTCTCTCTGCCACCCAATAGCAAAGACACTTTCTCCCAAGCGGTCACAGTGGACTGGCATGGGAGTTATGATGAATAAGAGAAATGTTGACAGTAGAGATTATATATTTTTGATTTTATGAAAATGTAGAGACCAAATACTGATGTATTCGTTATCATTCTCTCTCACTTTCTCACCCCCACCATTTCTTTCACTTTACATCCAATCTATTTGTTTTTATCTCTCTATTTATATCCCTGTCATCTATCCATAGCTTCTCTCTATCATTTATCTTTCAATCTAACTATCCACCATCCATTTAACATATATTACCCCCAAATTTGCAAAGGTACCTTCTATTAACAAAAAAATTGGCCCAAGTTGGAGAAGAATAAAGCACAGTGATGTCATAATAACACTCTACTGTCTTTGATTGGATACCTCTTCAAAAATAGTGGGTTTTTTTTTCTTTATCTGGTCTGTGTAAATTCTGCATCTGCCACCCTGCATTTCCATAAAAGATTTAGAATAGAATTGATTCTTAATACTGATAATTACACTTAAGAAATGACTATTATTTTTGAAGTGCTTAGAATATATATTATAAATAAGAAAAACAAGTGAATAATTGTTGTATAGTTTGAGTGGGAAGAAGTGTTTCATTCTGACTTTGTTTTGCTTTTGTAATGTTTTATTGTGTATTGTTTTAATGCCTAGTAAGAACAGTGTGAAGGTCGTGCCTTCATTGTTTGCTTTTTTGTTTTTGAGGGAAAGTATAATTTTAAAAAGTTTTATTCCTCATACTTTTTTGCCAGATGATAAGGATAGGATTTTAGCAGACTAAGTCACATCAAGCAGTGGCCAAAAGCAAGAATACATTGGTTATAAGAAAACAATTATTTATTCATAAATTAAGTAAAAGGTCATCACTTTAGACATTTTGAACTACCAAGTTTTCTATACAGTGAGAATTAACCATTTACATGTCAGAAGATTTACGTATTGGCAGAGTGTGCTCTAGAAATACTATACTGTTTTTCTGTTACAAATATTATGCATATTCATTATGGAAACTTTCAAAATTCAATAAATTTTAAAACGACATTTTTAAAAGTCTGTAACCCCAGATGAATACATAACAACTGATATTCTGCTATTTTTCTTTCTATTCTTTGTGTGTGTGTGTGTGTGTGCATCTTTGTATGTAGTAATGAATATGTAATGTCTATGTAATGAATATTTTATACAAATATATATTTTAAATAAATAAATATATATATATATATAATAGTCCTGCATCCTTTTTACTTGATATTATTTTTAAATATTTTTATATTCTGGAAAATATTTGACAATACAGTTTTATGATGAATATCTGTATAAAATATTTTCTTATTAGATATTTAGGTTATTTCAGCTTTGCGGTTATGATGTCTACAGCAGGTATTTATTATAAAACATATTTGGCAATATATTGAATTTCTTCTTGAATTCGGGGTACTTTTTTCTTGATTTGGTTTAGTTAAAACTGTGAATGGAGATGGAGTGTTATAGGAAGTAAATGTCTCCTTTCCCTAAGTTAAGGGTAGCTGGACCATATCACTTGGTGTGGCTTTAGCACAGGGACATGGGGTGTCAACCAATGCTTGACATGTGGCATCAGGGGCTTTCTTAGCTCTTCCTAACTTCCATTCATTTTCCTGAGTTTAGGCGTCTTAAGCTTGCTAAGGAAATCTCTTGAGGCTCCAAAGAGAGAGTTACAGAGTATTAAGAAGTCCAGTGACTTTTGAGGTTACACATAATATTGCAGTGCCAGAGGTTGTCTGCTTCGTGTCATAGAACATAATGCCTTTTCTCTCCTTTTACTCTTTATAGTTGATTCTCCCCTTTTCTTCTGTCAATGACTAGTGCTCCTTGTCTTTTGTTCCTTGTCCTGTCACCCTTTATAGTGTTGGCTTTGTCACTTATTATCTTACACTCCCCCCTAAACCTGCTATTTCTCCTTTATTCCTCATCTTGATTGGTGGTTCAAATGTCTCCCTCCTGTGGAGCTGCTCCCAGAATTGAACAAATCACTTCCTTCTCCATGTACCTATCACACTACTATTATAGCAATGTTGCTGAAAACAATGATATGTCAGTTTGTAATGAAATTTGAATTATTTAAAAAATAAGGACAGAAAAATTAGTTTTCCATGAAGTTAAATAAATTTAATAAGATATTTTACTTAATGATGATACTGTTTTTCTACTATGATTGATGGTCTAATAGTATATACTTTATGCAGTAATGCTAGAAAGCAAGTTGACAGCCCCATTTTTGTTTAATTTTTTTGAAATTAAGATTGCACTGGCCCAAGACATTTAAAGTCTAGAAAGTACAGTAATACAGTACTTATCATAGTGAAATATACTTATTTGTCTACATGTGTGAATCTTTCAGATTTTGAGCCTTTTGACAGCATGCTTGTGTCTTTAATTTTTTCTCCTATTGTCTCATAAAGAGTGGTCCATAAAAAGTGGTGCTTATTAAGTGTATATTATGTTTTATTTGCATTATTTTAGATGTTTATGTGAGTGTTCATATTACTTTCAGTGTAAGAGTTGAGTAATGTAATTTAGCAAAGTTTTACATAGGCAAGTTGCTACTTCATAAGGCAATGATCTACCTGAGGATAAAAGCATGAATTGAAATTGGATCATTCTCTGCATTCTGGTCCAAATTAATCGGTCTCATTTTGTATTAATGCTCTACCTTTCCTTTTAGTATTATCAACTTATATTAATGTTTGTCTTTCAAATTTTCAAATATTTCTATTTGACAGACTAATTTCTCTGTTCTTGCTTTTCTATAAATTTAATTTTCAGCACACACACATTATTCTTCACACTTTCTGTAAATTCTCCTGTTCTTCTTTAAATGTATGAAGCTTGATTGTGTAACTCAGGGAATTTCATTCAATAAAATATCTTAGCTCAATAAACCATTTAATTACTTAAATAATAGTTCAAATTGCTTAAAACATATTTATCAAAAACAACCAATTACATATTTGGATAGATAATGTTACCTGAAGGTGTTATTTGAAATAATCCTAACTCATTCAGTGTGTGGTCTTAGATAGAGTTGCTTATTTTGAGTGTTAAGAGTGTTTCTATATTTTTATCTGATATCCATGTATCCATGCAAAAATTCAGGGTCCTTGGAATAATTTGGCGTTTTACCATAATAAAATAAAGCTAATAATGATTATTATGATGATAAAAAGTTGTTCACAATTTTACTGAACATTTATGATATGCCATATATTATGTGCCAAGATTAATTAATCTTGTGTGCTTAATTAATTTATTCATTCAACAAATGTTTATGTATCATTGTAGGAACTGGTAATACAACAGGGGAAAAAAATGCATGAAGTTACTGCCCTTGCAGAACTTGCATTCTAGTAGGGAGAGGCAGACAACAAAGGAATTACAAGTGAATATACAGAACTATAGACAGTGATAAGAGTTTTGAAACAAATAAGAGGGAATAAGAATAGTGATGGGGTAGGGGGTAGGTATGGTTTACTGTTTTACATGGGGTGGTCAGGGAAAGACTCACTACTAATGTCACATACATGTAGAGACTTGTAAGATGGAAGGGAGTGGGCCATGTAGAAACCTGTAGAAAGAATTCAGAAAGAGAAAAGCAAATACAAAACCCTCGAGAGGTCAGGATGATTTGCTTTATGTAAATTATTCCTCATGCCAGAGAGATAGACGTTACTCTCCTGAGAAGCTGCTCTCACCACAGAATGAGTCACTCACTCCTCTATGCTCCTGAAGCAGATGTGGTAATATTTTTCAAAACATTAGTCCACTAATTAGGGTTGGTCTATGATAAAGATTTCATTGAGTAAAAAAAATGAGAAAAGTGGTGGTAATTGAGAGTCCCAGGTTGACACCTAATTTTGAAGTTAAAAATTTGATATATGAAATCCAAATGAATCTGAATCATTTGGCATCATAAGACATTTAGACAGTTTAAATTGTGTCATTTTTTTTGGTGCTCAGTAGACACCTCTCTCTCCAGTAAAATAAAAATTTAAAATGATTACAAATTTGTAATAATACAGGAAGATAACTGAGCTCTGTTTAGGTTCCTTCTCTCTGAACTTCACCATGGAAATTCTGCAGACAGCAAGCCAGGGCAATTGTAGGGCGGACCTCATTTGGTTCTCCTCACTCCAAGATTATGATACTGTGAAATTTTAATCACTTTTCAGTCCCTAATATGCTTAAAATTATTTATTTAAATTAATTATTTTTCGTTAATTGTTTTGTATTTAGGGACTAAAAAGTGATTAAAATTTTAAGTTTGTTGAAATTTTATGAATTCTTGAAAAGATTCATCTGCCTTTTTGGAAAAAGATAGAATTGGTCACTGTTAACTGAATAAAGCTGAATAAAGTATATAACTTTTTAATGTTCTCAAATCTTTCTCATTTTGAGGAGTTGAATTGAAAGTAGTTTCAATATGGCAGTGTTACATTTAGAGATCATGAGTTAACCATTTTTTATTTCATTTTATGTTTTGTTCTTCTCAGACTGAGTAACCAAGTTCTAATCTGCATATGTGATTTATTTATTTGCTACATTGCTATGAACTGGGTACTACACAGGGCAAGTTATATGCTGAAACAAAGCCTCACAATGGCTGGAGATTTGTTTTTATACAGGATGGGTCGTCATGCTGTGCAAGAGAATTGTCTTACTTCCCAGTCCTACTAGGGAGAGACTCTTCTACTCAAAACGTCCTATATTTCCTCCTCACATACCGACGATCATGAATTTCTTAGAAAGCATTGTTTAGAAACACAGAGCAGAGAATTATTCATTCATGGGAAAAAAAACCATCAAAACAAGCATGACTTAATGAGACATCTGATTATAAAACCTCAGGAAGTACTTACCTTTATCAACTATAAAACCTTAGGAAGGACTTCCATTTATCTGGAATCATGGCTTCCAAATTTACTCTGTAGCCCTAAACAACTAAAAATCTTGATACAATATATAAAACAACAGGTTTCACACATCGGACTATAGGTGTCACAGTATAGTAATCTTGGAGTGAGGAGAAACAAACGAGATGGGCCCTACAATTGTCCTGGCTTGCTGTCTGCAGAGTTTCCAGGCTGAAGTTCAGAGAGAAGGAACCTAAACAGAGCTCAGTTATCTCCTTCATTGAGGAGACAGAGTATTTGGGGAGTTAGTTAAGGTGGCTGTAATTGATGAGGCAGTGCAAGTGAGATGAGAGAATTGCACAAGAGAGCTCAGAGGTCTGCTGAGGACTTCACTCCGGTCTTCAGTTCGGTACTAATCAGCATTTCTGTGAGAAACTACTCAATGCTAAAAAAATGTCATGGGAAAGAAATGGGTGACACAATTATCAGAGCTCAGACAGGGCTAGGAGTAATTCACAATCCAAAAAGCCAGGATGGGAAAAAAGTTGTAATACATGAAACATCAGGCAAAAGGGTCATTTCTTAGTCTGTTAGGGATACTATAAGAAATACAATAGACTGAGTGACCTATGAACAACAGAATTTGTTTCTCACATTTCTGGAGGCTGGGAAGCCAAAATCAAAGCACTGGCAGATTCAGTGTCCGGTGAATGTGAGTTTTCTAGTTCAAAGATGGTACCTTCTAGCTGTATCCTCACATAGAAGAAAAGGGGAACCCCAGCTTGTTTGGGCTTACTTTATAAAATCAAAAATCCCATTCATGAGGCCTTATGCTCATGACCTAATTAATCAGCTTCCAAAACATCCCACCTCCTGATACCATTACCTTGGGGGTTATAATTTCAACATATGAAAATTTAAGGGCTTCAAACATTAAGACTGTGGCATGGGACCAAATTAGTCCTAGAAGTAAAGGCTGCTATGGGCCTAATGAATTTTAAAAGCTCATTTTAAAAGCATCATACTATTTCCAACTAGCTTAGTTGCAAACTAAAGTAAATTTGAAAAATATTTAAAGGATTACTCTCTTAAAGAAAAAAGTCCAGCACCCAGACACACTTCAATAAAAAATTGTTGAACATTCAAAGAAGTAGAAGACCAGGAATAATAATAAGGAGAATAACCAATCAATAGAAACATCCAGAAATGACAAATAATAGAATAAGCAAACAAGAGCATTAAAAGAGCCACTGTATTCTCCAAATAACCAAAAAGAAGGAGGAAATCATGAGCATGTTGAAAAATTCTGCATGTAACATACAATATGCACCCAAATTTAATTTCTAAAGCTGAAAAATACAATGTTTGAGATAAAAAAATACTTGGGTGGAATTAATAGCAGATTAGACACTGTAGAATAAAATATTATAGAATTTAAAAATAAAACTTTAGTAGTAAGTAATTTAAGTAAAAATGCAAAGTCCCAGTTTCATATTAAGTATTAGTAATAAGCATTACCATTATCGAGAAGTAAACATTTCTGATTAGCCTGGGTTGAGCTGGTCCAATGTGATCCAAAAAGGTACTCTGGACTGGGCCAACAATATCTTAGTTGTGTTCCTGAAGACTTATCTCTATTTCATTTTTAAGGGTTTGCATCAGAACATGCTCTATATACACTATGATGTCTGGATAGTAAGTATTTACATCTCATTATGAAGTGTAGGCTTAGATGTTTTCAACAAATCCTGGAAAGTAACTTCTATGGCAGGAGTCTCAGAAATGATAATCCATAGTCATAGGGCAAAATTGACACACAGACATCCTCTCTTTTGCCAGTACAATTAAAGTTAAATTTAAATGTCTTCAAGTAGAGCATATCATCATCTTGTCACAGATCCCATGAACCTAGCCTGTGAAATAATTTGAACTTGTAACTCAAGCCTTTTGAAAACATTTTACAAAATTTTCTGAACTCCATGGACTCCACGTGACTGTAAGAGTCAGAGGCAATGGCAGGTAAGCATTGCCTTTTATGTGGTTTTGTCTTAATAAGGCTAATTTGTATTGGGTACACTACTTGTCATTTGTAGAGTACCAGAAATACTAAAAAACACTCATATTGGTGTTGACTGGCAAAGCACATATGTCAAGCAAATCTAAATGTATGTCTTTGTCACTCCTTTGAGAACATTTCCAGAAATGATACAGCCAAAGTGATAACAGAAAAGGGTAAATAACTGCACATTGTCTTCCAAATGTGCTGAGATACTATAGAAGCTAAAGATGGAAAATGAAATTCATACATCTTAAAACAACTGAATGAATTCCTTAATTTCTTAGTCACAGCAAGTTCAATGTTTGACCTGTAAAGCTAATAAAGACTGGAGACCTCACTTTGTTCTTGACAAGCACTGTTGAGCTCTTTGGTTGCAGTTGAAGCTGAAGAGCATTCCTAATAAGATTTTTTTCTAGCTCATTTTCCTGCAAATGAAATCTCTGCCTTACATTGTCCTTAGTTATGGAAAATAAGATCACTAAACCTTGGTAACTGTTGCCGAATGGCAGTAAAGATTTCATTGTTCAAATAATCCTCAAGACTTCGCATATCAAGTATACTCTATATTTTGAGAAATATTTGTATTACTCTCTTTTAAATGAAGTTACCTCATTTTATTACCTGTCACTTCACTGGGTTTCAAATTGTCTAATTTATTTAACTAGCAAAGTAAGGGATTTGAGCCCACTATAGGTTATGATTTATACATTATCATTTGGTCATTTAGAGTTTTGTTTGGTAGTAGTTCATGGTGATTCTGTAAATTTTGTAAATAACTATCCTTATACTTTCTAGCATTTGGAGTTTTATGTCTTTTCTTGGTGAAATTAGTGTTCTGCAAATTAGGAAAGGCAGAAACAAGTCAATCAAACTTATAACACTGTCTGCTTGAGAAAGTCACCATGTTCATTTTATAGGTGATTTGTTTTGCCCCATTGTATTTTGAATTCTCCCGTCAGCCAGGTCATTTGTATCTCAGGCCACAGAGGGTCTCTCAAGACTGCTTCCTGTGAAATTGAGTGGCCCCTTTTTATTTCTCTGTTACAAATGTTTACTTTTTCCAGAGCACTTTTCTCCTAAAGAAAATTTTACATCCATTTAAATGTCTTGCCACCTCTTCCTTGCCAGGCATACTGACTTTTAAACCTAAGCCTTTGGAGCATGTAAAATCAATGATGTGTACTGAGTTTTCTATCTATTCCCGATAAATTGCAGTCACTACTTCACCTTTGCCTACCTGCTCAGCAATATCCTCCGAAGAACCCAAGCATATCTGGCAGGTGTTCTATATCTTAGCTGAATCTATAGCTGATTTTCTAGCATAGTGAGGTGAGTCTATACTAGGCTTGGAAGAAACAGAAGAAATTATATAAAGGAAAATATATGTGGCTTTATCATTATATCACATATTTTCATCTGGTGATAGGCCATTTATGAAAGGAATAACTCCTGGATACACAAGTGGATGTGTGAATGGAAGAAAATAATCAAATAATTAATGAGCACATTCTTTGTGTCTAGTATTGTAATGAGGTATGTTTACAGTGTCTCACAGATGTCAACAGGAATAAATATCACTAGAACAGCATTCTATATTAAGTGTTTCTTAACCTGACATCTATGAGCTCCAGAACTTTCATATACATGGTTTAACGTTCAGAGGTAATCAAGAACATGGAACTATTTTTAATAGTGTTTGCATTGGTTTTCTATGGCTGTTGTAAAACATTGTCACACACTTTCTGGCTTAAAACAATACACGTTTATTCTCTTACAGTTCTGGAAATCAGAAGTCTGAAATCAGTTTCATTGGGGAAAAATCAGTATGACTGCAGGGCTGGTCGCCCTACAAAGGCTCTGAGGAGAGAATCAGTTCCCTTGGCTTCTCCAGCTCCTAGATCTGCATTCTTTGCATTTTGTGCTCGTGACCCCTTCCCCCATCTTTAAAGCCAGCAGTATCTCATTTTTATTTAGTAGTCACATTGTTTTCTGCCTCTGCGGTCAAATTTCCCTCCACCTTCTACTTATAAGGACACACACAGATTACATTTAGGACCCACCTGGATAATCCAGGATAATCTCCCCATCTCTGGATCTTTAACTTAATCTAATCTTTTTGGCAAACTTCCTTTTGCCAAAAAGTTAACATTTACAGGTGTTAGGGATTAAGTTCTGGATATTTTGAGGGGACATTTTATTCAGCCTATTATAATGTCTGAAACAGCTTGTTAACTCAGGATCTTATTTAATTTTTTAAAAGGAAGCTATTAATTGTAAATTACTAAGTTGGCACTGTAACAGTTTATTCAAGAGTCTATCTAAGTATATTTATATATGTGTCAACTAACAACATCTAATTAAGGTGTTCTGTCTGGTGTTAATTTCCCAAAATCGACTCCCCGAGAAGCTGATGAAATCTTAGCCATAGTAGACACAGAAAATTCCCTTGTTCTAACCCTTTTAGCATCTCGATTTTGAAATGTTCACAGTTATATTTGTCACCAGTGGCAGTTTCAACTGGAATAGTAATTTTCTGAATTTCTTCATTTGTTTAAATTCTAATTTTAAGGAGACTATTTGCCAGTGATTTCTATTTTTTCCAACTTCTAAAAAAAGTAAAATGTAATTGCTGGATCATGTTTTGTATATAAAAGGAAGCAAATATATCTAGGTTACTCACAAAATATTTGAGTTTAATAAAATTTCATGGAGGGAAAGAGAGAAAACATTCCAAGTGAAAATAACACAATGAGTGGAGGTAATAGAAAGTTCCTGTGTCACCTATCCTGGGATCTGACTTATGGAAAACTGAATTAGGTGTCCCCTCATTCTGTCAGGGTATGTACTGTGCTGTAGTCATTTATGTTTCTCCTTGCTATGGTCTGAATATTCTTTTCTCTCAAAAATTCATATTTTTGGAACTCAGTATACAATATGATAGCATTAACAGGTGGGGTCTTTTGGAAAATGATTAAATCATGAGGGCCCTAGCATCAGGAATAGGATTGAGATTAGTGCTCTTATAAAAGAGATTGAATGGAGTGTTCTTGCTTCTTCTGACATGTGAGAATGCAGCAATAAGGCACCATCTAGGAAACAGACAGCAAGGCCTCATTAGACACCGTATATACTGGAACCTCCTTCTTGGACTTCCCAGCCTCCAGAATTATGAGAAATAGATTTCTGTTTTTCATATACTACCCAGTCTAAGGAATTTGTTAAAGCAGGCTGGATGGACTAAGACGCCCCCAACCAGACTGAAGGCGTGATTATGCCTTTTCTTTGGAGTTGAAACTCCCAGCACTATGCCTGAAATATAATTGCAGAACAAATATTTGGAAGCAATTGGATTGGGTAGAATATTAGGATATTAGACAGGAATTTGATGAGAGTAAAGATGTGTGTATGTGGAGGAATGGGGGAAAGTTGTATATGCACAGGAATGGCTCACGTTATTGAGATCTTTAAAGTCGAGGGAAAATTTTGTCTGCAAACCTTGTTAAGAATGCATAGTGAAGGGGAATTCAGAGACAAGGAGGTAAACTGGAAAAGTCATCTCTGTAATTCTGACCTAAGATAATGAGAATCTGAATCATGATTGTCTTAGTCAGTTTGGGCTGCTACCACAGAATTTTATGAACTAGGTGTCTTGTAAACCTGTGAGAAATTTATTTCTCCCAGTTCTGGAGGTTAGAAGTCTGAGTTCCAGCCTGGTCAGTTCCTGGAGAGGGTTCTCCTGTGGGTTGCAGATTGCTGACCTCATCTTGTGTCCTTGCATGGTGAAAAGACAGATAACTATTTCTTGGGCCTCATTTCATAAGGACAGTATTCCCTTTCATGAGGTCTCTGCCCTCATGACCTAATTACCTCCCAAAGGTCTCATTTCCAAATACTATCACAGAGGGGCTAGGGTTTCAACATCTAAATTTTGGAGGGACTCAAATGCTCAGTCCCTTGCAAGGGTTAAATGAATAAATGAAAAAGAGGTAGGCAGATGGAACAGAAAAGGGACATTTCAAAGGAGAAATGGCTAGAGTGATATTGCCAACTATATCTTTTAATGTACTTTCTTAAATGCTTGTTATGCACTTTCTAACTGTATTTTTCAACTTGAAAGCCATATTTGCCATTCTGTTCTCTTTTTTTAAGTTTTTTTCATGTATTGAAGTAGTCATTCTGAAAATAGAATTTTAAAAAATCCTATTTCACCACTTCAAGCAGTATTTCTATCATTTTACTTATTCCAAGTCAAACAATTCCAAGTTACCAGGTGAAAGTTACCACTCATACTTTCTGTTTTTATAAATTGTAGCTCTGATATTATTTACCTTTGTTGTTTCAGGAATATACTTAAGTTGGTCAGGAACCAGACCCACTAAAATACTAATACTGATATTTTTATTGAATCTAATAAATGTTATCTTGTTTGCCAATCTGGATAAATTAAATTTTCCATTGCTGTCCATTTACTTTATAAAAATGCCATTTTATTAATTGAATTATTTATTGGCCTGAGTAATTCTTTCGTGTCATATACCTGTATCATAATCCCTGTGCTAAAATTAAAATAAGAATTATTTAATTTAGGAAGTATTCGTTGAGTAGCTACTATGTGCATAGCATTGAAAGGAACATACAATCCATGTGTTTTAATATTTTTATCTTTATCTGATATTTGCAGTTTCCCAAATTTACCTTTTCCTAAAGAATGGCTACACGTCTCCCATTTTTATCCCACCACATCTAAATATCAACTGATATTCATATTATTTCTCTAGTTTACTGTAAAGAACATGAGTAAATTATACACATATATTTAATCAGTACTATAGTTTATTTTGCCTGAAAATACATGTTTTAACATTGTACAATTTTTTTCTAACTTGATTATCCTAGTTCAAGAATATCTTCAACTCCTATTTTTGTTTAGTTTCAACCCAGAAGACATTTTCTTTAAAATTTTAATTGGCTAGGTTTGGTGGCTCATGCCTGTACTCCCTACACTTTGGGACCCCAAGACAGGAGATCACTTGAGCCAGGAATTTGAGATCAGCCCGGGCAACATAGCAAGACCCCATCTCTACAAAAAAATAAAAAAAATAATTAGTCATGTGTGGTGGCGCATGCCTTTAGTCTCAGCTACTTGAGAGGGTGAAGCTGGAAGATTGCTTGATACCAGGAGGTCGAGGCTGAAGTGAGCTGTGATTGTGCCACTGCACTCAATCTTGGGCAACAGAGTGAGATCCTATTGAAAAAAAACATAAAATAAAATAATTGTTTTACTTGAGATTTTTTTGTATTACAATTTTTAACATGTTAATTTTAAAATAATCATTGATTACTTTTTTACCTCTCTTCCAATCAAAAAGTGTAATTTTTTCTGTAGGCAAGCTTTATCATCTAAAATGTACTGATATTAAAGAATGGTAACACATTAATTCATAAGTTCTTTGAAATAGCTAAACTGAAATTTGATATGAAATTATATTAGATACAAGTGTATGATATATGATGTCAGACTATGAACTGATGTGTTATTTTCAATGAATATTTAACTATATAATGCAATAATGGCTTTATATAGTTATGTATATTCTAGAATGCCATGCTTTAGCTTTAGTAGCCATGCTTTTGAGGTCTTTCTCAAGAAATCTTTGCCTGGACCAATGTCCTGAAGTAGTTCTCCAATTTTTTTCTTTTAGAAGTTTTATAGTTTTGAGTCTAAGTCTTTAATCCATCTTGAGTTTGTTTTTGTATATATAGAGAGATAGGGGTGTACTTTCATCCTTCTGCATATGGATGTCTAATTTTACCAGCACTACTTATTAAAGAGACTCTTCCCCAATGTCCTTTCCCCCCATACAAGAGCAATGTATGTTCTTGGTTCCTTTGTTGAAAATGAGTTGGCTGTAAATATGTGGATTTCTCTCTGGGTTCTCTCTTCTCTTCCATTGGTCTATGTGTCTATCTTTATACAGTACCATGCATGCTGTTTTGGGAACTATAGCTTTGTAGTATATTTTGAAGTCAGGTAGTGAGATGCCTCCAGGTTTGTTCTTTTTGCTCAGGATTCATTTGGCTATGTGGGTCTTTTGTGGTTCCGCAGAAATTTTGCAATTATTTTTCTTTTTCTGTGAAGAATGTCATTGGTATTTTGATAAGAGTTGTACTGAATCTGTAGATCACTTTGGGTGGTATGGGCAATATTAATTCTTTTAGCCCATGAACATGGAATATCTTTCCATTTCTTGTCCTCTTCAATTTCTTTCATCAGTGCTTTACAGTTTTAATTGTATAGATCTTGCACTTATTTGCTTAAATTTATTTCTAGTTATTTTTATAGCTACTGTAAATGGAATTGTTTTTTATTTTTCCAGTTGTTCACTGTTAACATATAGAAATGCTGTTGACTTTTGTACAATGATTTTGTATCCTGTAACTTAACTGAATTTGTTTTGAGATTTTTCTCACAGTGATAGTGGCATTTTAAAAATATATGACCTCCTCTCCCTATTTTTGATGAATCCTTTAGGTTATCATAAATATTTGTTGAACAAATGTAGGAACAAAATATTATGATAATGGAACTTATGGGTTTTTTTTCCCTAAGAGTTCTTATGGGACACAATATATAATGTTTCCTTCATATTAAAAATCAATTTTAAATAATCAAAAAATTCTGTGCATAAAATGTGACTTATAACAATTTGTTTACAAAGTCTTTTTTTAAAAACAGAAATTCTATAGTGAAAAAGAAGCACTGGGGATAATGAGCTGTTAGAATTGTATTTATTTTTATTATTTAGTTATTTGTTGATAAGTGTTGTATGAAAGGGAGGCTTAAGAGGTTATAGAGCATAATTATTATTGAAGCATTAGGAATATGCATACTAGGAATGTGAGTGTGTATGTGTTATGTGTTTGTATACATGCATATATATATATGTATATAGGCATGAGTGTTTCTGGGAGCAGATGGATACAAATAAAATTGTTTGATTCCTAAGCCAGCATCCTACCACCTAGCAAGAGGACAGAGGAAAGTAATTTCAGGTATGTGAAGACTGCCAAGTAACACAGGATAACAAGACCGAAGAGCTGTGATATACGTGGCTCTCCAAGGTAGGGAGATGAAATAACAGATACAAAGATGAATATTTAGAGATTTAGAGAAGCATATTTGATTGGCTGCCAGGCTCCAGGAATGATCAGAAGTTCTTGGGAAAAAAAATGGTGACTTACTTCTGCTACCTCTGTCTTTAAGACCAGTGTACAATTTCTAATTTCACTATACCAGAGAGTAAATCTTGCTCAAATGTCTGTGGCCTTAACATTGAATTCTACTTCAAGGACTACTCTTTCCTCCATCAGTATTTTTAACTTTGCAAAAACTGCAGTTATTCCAGTTTATAAAATTCTGTTGTTCACTTGCTTACTAGATTATTTTACACCTGAATATAATAACTTTCCTATGATGAGAAACAGCTCCTCACCTTGCTTGTTATTTGAGATAGCCATTGACTAAGAAAAAAGCCTAAGAGATAGAAATATCATAGCAACTCAGCCACTGGCAGTGGCAAGCAGAGCATTTTGAAGGGAAATATGTAGCCCTTCTTCACATAGTCTCAAAGGTAGAGTAAGCATCAGGCAATGCAAGATCACATTGCAGGAGCATTTGACTGAGTGGTAAATATCAAGGCCAGCTTCCATGGAGAGTTGAAAGTAAAATCAGTAATTTGTCTTTAATTTGCAAACAAAAAAATTTACATGTGTTCTAAATAAACAAAGCTGTTTATTTCCTTCGTCTAAGAATATTGATAATTCGTAGGGATGGGTTAGGGTACTGCTCCTTCTATCTAGTGACTCCATTAACATCTCAGATTTCAAAGTCTCTTGTTGGATTTTCGGCATCCAGCCAGCAGAAGAGGTAAGAGAAAATAATGCAGAGAATTGAGGAATAGCTTTTAAGGTCCAGGAGGTGACATTCCCTTTGCCCTCGTTCTACTGGTCAAAATTCAGTCCGATGGCTCTAACGATATGCCACAAAGATTAGAAAATATAGTCTAGCCCTGTACCCAGGAAGAAGAGAAACAATTTTTGTGTATCTACCAGCTAGAGTCTAGCTAGTCTGAGTCTTGGTGATGATGGTGATGATGATGATAATTGTTGGGTTTGGAATAATCATCTGTATTAACCTTATCCTTAATTTGCACTGGATCAGAGACAAGTTAATCATTAATATTTACATATCAACAACTGTGTTGATCCCTTCCACCCCAGTGTTTACTCTTCGAGCACACCGTGAAAGCCAGGTGGTAAAATCTCTTATTGTGAGTGGCCTTACACTTTCATCCATAAATGTGAGGATGAAAGAAAATACATTATATCTACTTGTATGCTACAGAGAAGGATGGTTGCTTTCACCACAAATCCCAAAAGGAGGGAGAAAAATTTCTATTCCTTGGGGATGGAAAGAAAAGGAAAATTTATTCTTACTCTAACCTTTGGAATGAAAATCCCCTCAAAGGATAAAAAAAATCCCATTTTCCCTGGCTTCTATGACTTTTATGACTTTTAGAGATGTCTCCAAGACCATGAGTCTCAGTTTCTCTTGAAATGGAAACACATACCACTCTGAGGTAGGTAAATCTCTTTTGAGTTCTCTCACTATCTAGATGGTTGTAAATTTACTTCCAAAGACTTGCTCATAGCCCAGGATCTCAAGTTTTTGGCATAATTTATTTAGCCAGTCTATGGCTAAAACACAGAAATACTTTCTTAGCACTCCACAATGACAATGATGATAATAACAGCTAAAATTTATTAAGCACTTGCCATGTTTCAAAAATTATTCTCCATGTTTTACTTAGAATTTGTAGTATCTCATTAATCTCCACAAACTAGTGAGGATATTACTGATTGAATTCCATTTTACACGTGAGAAAATTGAGACACAAAGAAGTTAGTAGAGTACCTAAGACCACACAGGTACAAAGTGGCACAGATGGAATTTGCACACATGTAGTTTAGTCTAGAGTGTGTAAAATATATCCTTTATTAAGAAAAAAAAAGTATAGTTGTGGGACAACAAATGACCCCTGTGCATTGTCAAACCCCTTACCAGGACGTCCTTTTATCACTGTGGTATTAAGGTTCCTGACCACCAGCCCTCATTTGGATTAGCTATACTTGTATGGATTTCGGTGGAGCTCTTTATTAGTAAAATGGCTGTTTTATCTTCAAACAATGTAGCATACCTATTGGATTGATTTATGAATAGAAAAGTAGCTTTGAGTCAGAGATTTTAGTTTGTTTATTCCTGGGTTCCCTAAAGCCTAGCACAGTAATGTTCAAAAGGGTATCTCTCAGTAACTATTTTTGTACAAATGATTAAGAACATATTCTAAGCAGGCATGTAGCAGATCCATACTAAGCAGTAGGAGTCTATCCTTCTTTCTGACTAAGGACCATAGCCCATTTATGGAATAAACCAAGTGAGAAGTAAGTAACTGGTGAAAATACATTCATTATGGGCAAATTAAGAGCTCTTTTACTATCTATTTAATGTGTTTCATCATAAATTATAATTCCAGGGACCTATTGCTGCTCACTCAAACAAAAGTACAATCTTATTAAGGGATAAAAAGATGTAAGGGGAAATGTTTAAGAGTGAAACTTTTCAGAGATTATATAAATGTAATCTTCAATTAGTTATTGCCTTAATAATCATGAATTCTGAAGTAACAAAAATCCTGAATAAATGAGATTTTCACCCTGAGATTGAAAGAAAATTTTCAACTGAAATAATTTCCTCCTTATCATACAGTTTAAATCCCTTTTTATTCATATTTTATGCAAATATGTCATTATATTTTGTACGTATCAGATATTGAAGCTCTCTTCTAAAACTTTATATTTTTGATAAATATTTCTGTGAAATAAAAGAAAATATGGGAAGGGTGGTTCCAAGATGGCCGAATAGGAACAGCTCTAGTCTACAGCTCCTAGCGTCAGCCACGCAGAAGATGGGTGATTTCTGCATTTCCAACTGAGGTACCAGGTTCATCTCACTGGGGTTTGTTGGACAGTGGGTGAAGGACAGTGGGGGCAGCCCACCGAGTGTGAGCCAAAGCAGGGCACGGCATCGCCTCACCCGGGAAGTGCAAGGGGTCAAGGAATTCCCTTTCCTAGCCAAGGGAAGCGGTGCCAGACGGCACTTGGAAAATTGGGTCACTCCCACCCTAATACTGTGCTTTTCCAATGGTCTTAGCAAATGGCACACCAGGAGATTATATCTTGTGCCTGGCTCGGAGGGTCCCACACCCACGGAGCCTCGCTCATTGCTAGCACAGCAGTCAGAGATCGAACTGCAAGGCAGCAGTGAGGCTTGGGGAGGGGCGCCTGCAATTGCTGAGGCTTGAGTAGGTAAACAAAGTGGCCAGGAAGCTTGAACTGGGTAGAGCCCACCTCTGCTCAAGGAGGCCTGCCTACCTCTGAGACTCCACCTCTGGGGGCAGGGCATAGCCGAACAAAAAGCAGCAGAAACTTCTGCAGACTTAAATGTCCCGGTCTGACAGCTTTGAAGAGAGTAGTGGTTCTCCCAGCATGCAGCTGGAGATATGAGAACGGACAGACTGCCTCCTCAAGTGGGTCCCTGACCCCCTGAGTAGCCTAACTGGGAGGCACCCCCCAGTAGAGGTAGACTGACTCCCCACATGGCCAAGTAACCCTCTGAGACAAAGCTTCCAGAGGAATGATCAGGCAGCAACATTTGCTGTTCAGCAATAATCGCTGTTCTGCAGCCTCCGCTGCTGATACCCAGGCAAACAGGGTCTGGAGTGGACCTCCAGCAAACTCAACAGACCTGCAGCTGAGGGTGCTGACTGTTAGAAGGAAAACTAACAAACAGAAAGGACATCCACACCAAAACCCCATCTGGACGTCACCATCATCAAAGACCAAAGGTAGATAAAACCACAAAGATGGGGAAAAAACAGAGCAAAAAAGCTGAAAATTCTAAAAATCAGAGCACCTCTCCTCCTCCAAAGGAATGCAGCTCCTCACCAGCAACAGAACAAAGGTGGACAGAGAATGACTTTGACGAGTTGAGAGAAGGCGTCAGACGATCAAACTTCTCTGAGCTAAAGGAGGAAGTTCGAACCCATCGCAAAGAAGCTACAAACCTTCAAAAAAGATTAGACGAATGGCTAATTAGAATAACCAGTGTAGAGAAGTCCTTAAATGACCTGATGGAGCTGAAAACCATGGCACGAGAGCTACGTGATTAATGCACAAGCTTCAGAAGCTGATTCGATCAATGGGAAGAAAGGGTATCAGTGATTGAAGATCAAATGAATGAAATGAAGTGGGAAGAGAAGTTTAGAGAAAAAAGAGTAAAAAGAAATGAACAAAGCCTCCAAGAAATATGGGACTATGTGAAAAGACCAAATCTAGGTCTGATTGGTGTACCTGAAAGTAACAGGGAGAATGGAACCAAGTTGGCAAACACTCTGCAGGATATTATCCAGGAGAACTTCCCCAACCTAGCAAGGCAGGCCAACATTCAAATTCAGGAAATACAGAGAATGCCACAAAGATATTCCTCGAGAAGAGCAACTCCAAGACACATAATTGTCAGATTTACTGAAGTTGAAATAAAGGAAAAAATGTTAAGGGCAGCCAGTGAGAAAGGTCACGTTACCCACATAGGGAAGCCCATCAAACTAACAGCGGATCTCTCAGCAGAAACTC
Organism: Homo sapiens; assembly: GCF_000001405.40. NCBI lineage: Eukaryota > Metazoa > Chordata > Mammalia > Primates > Hominidae > Homo > Homo sapiens. The sequence goes on from NC_000004.12 coordinate 91,464,169, forward strand.
TACAAGCCAGAAGAGAGTGGGGGCCAATATTCAACATTTTAAAGAAAAGTATTTTCAAACCAGAATTTCATATCCAGCCAAACTAAGCTTCATAAGTGAAGGAGAAGTAAAATCCTTTACAGACAAGCAAATGCTGAGAGATTTTGTCACCAAAAGGCCTGCCCTACAAGAGCTCCTAAAGGAAGCACTAAACATGCAAAGGAACAACCGGTACCAGCCACTGCAAAAATATGCCAAAATATAAAGACCATCGATGCTAAGAAGAAACTGCATCAACTGACAAGCAAAATAACCAGCTAACATCGTAATGACAGGATCAAATTCACACATAACAATATAAACCTTAAATGTAAATGGGCTAAATGCTCCAATTAAAAGACACACACTGGCAAATCAGATAAAGAATCAAGACCCATCACTGTGCTGTATTCAGGAAATCCATCTCACATGCAGAGACACGCATAGGCTCAAAATAAAGGGATGGAGGAAGATCTCCCAAGCAAATGGAAAACAAAAAAATGGCAGGACTTGCAATCCTAGTCCCTGGTAAAACAGACTTTAAACCAACAAAGATCAAAAGAGACAAAGAAGGCCATTACATAATGGTAAAGGGATCAATTCAACAAAAAGAGCTAACTATCCTAAATATATATGCACCCAATACAGGAACACCCAGATTCATAAAGCAAGTCGTTAGAGACCTACAAAGAGACTTAGACTCCCACACAACAGTAATGGGAGACTTTAACATCCCACTGTCAGTATTAGACAGATCAATGAGACAGAAAGTGAACAAGGATATCCAGGAATTGAACTCAGCTCTGCACCAAGTGGACCGAATAGACATCTACAGAACTCTCCACCCCAAATCAACAGAATATACATTTTTCTCAGCACCACATCACATTTATTCCAAAATTGACCGCATAGTCGGAAGTAAAGCACTCCTCAGCAAATGGAAAAGAACAGAAATTATAACAAACTGTCTCTCAGATGACAGTGCAATGAAACTAGAACTCAGGATTAAGAAACTCACTCAAAACCCCTCAACAACATGGAAACTGAACAACCTGCTCCTGAATGATTACTGGGTATATAACGAAATGAAGTCAGAAATAAAGATGTTCTTTGAAATCAATGGGAACAAGGACACAACATATCAGAATCTCTGGGACACATTTAAAGCAGTGTGTAGAGGGAAATTTATAGCACTAAATGCCCACAAGAGAAAGCAGGAGGGATCTAAAATCACCCTAACATCACAATTAAAAGAACTAGAGAAGCAAGAGCAAACATATTCAAAAGCTAGCAGAAGGCAAGAAATAACTAAGATCAGAGCAGAACTGAAGGAGATAGAGACACAAAAAACCCTTCAAAAAATCAGTGAATCCAGGAGCTGGTTTTTTGAAAAGATCAACAAAATTGATAGACTGCTAGCAAGACTAGTAAAGGAGAAAAGAGAGAAGAATCAAATAGATGCAATAAAAAATGATAAAGGGGATATCACCACCAATCCCACAGAAATACAAACTACCATCAGAGAATACTATAAACACCTCTATACAAATAAACTAGAAAATCTGGAAGAAATGGACAAATTCCTGGACACATACACCCTCCCAAGACTAAACCAGGAAGAAGCTGAATCCCTGAATATACCACTAACAGGCTCTGAAATTTAGGCAATAATTAAGAGCCTACCAACCAAAAAAAGTCCAGGACCAGATGGATTCACAGCCGAATTCTACCAGAGGTACAAGGAGGAGCTGGTACCATTCTTTCTGAAACTATTCCAATCCATAGAAAAAGAGGGGATCCTCCCTAACTCATTTTATGAGGCCAGCATCATCCTGATACCAAAGCCTGGCAGAGCCACAGCAAAAAAAGAGAATTTTAGACCAATATCCCTGATGAACATTGATGCAAAAATCCTCAATAAAATACTGGCAAACTGAATCAGGGAGCACGTCAAAAAGCTTATCCATTATGATCAAATGGGCTTCATCCCTGGGATGCAAGGCTGGTTCAACATATGCAAATCAGTAAACGTAATCCATCATATAAACAGAACCAAAGACAAAAACCACATAATTATCTCAATAGATGAAGAAAAGGCCTTTGACAAAATTCAACAGCCCTTCATGCTAAAAACTCTCAATAAATTAGGTATTGATGGGACGTAACTCAAAATAATAAGAGCTATTTGTGACAAACCCACAGCCAATATCATATTGAATGGGCAGAAAGTGGAAGCATTCCCTTTGAAAACTGGCACAAGACAGGGATGCCCTCTCTCACCACTCCTATTCAACATAGGGTTGGAAGTTCTGGCCAGGGCAATCAGGCAAGAGAAAGAAATAATAGGTATTCAACTAGGAAAAGAGGAAGTCAAATTGTCCCTCTTTGCAGATGACATGATGGCATATTTAGAAAACCCCATCATCTCAGCCCAAAATCTCCTTAAGCTGATAAGCAACTTCAGCAAAGTCTCAGGATACAAAATCAATGTGCAAAAATCACAAGCATTCCTATACACCAATAAGAGACAAACAGAGAGCCAAATCATAAGTGAACTCCCATTCACAATTGCTTCAAAGAGAATAAAATACCTAGGAATCCAACTTACAAGGGATGTGAAGGACCTCTTCAAGGAGAACTACAAACCACTGCTCAAGGAAATAAAAGAGGACACAAACAAATGGAAGAACATTCCATGCTCATGGAGAGGAGGAATCAATATCATGAAAATGGCCATACTGCCCAAGGTAATTTATAGATTCAATGCCATTGCCATCAAGCTACCAATGACTTTCTTCACAGAATTAGAAAAAAACTACTTTAAAGTTCATATGGAACCAAAGAAGAGCCCACATTGCCAAGACAATCCTAAGCCAAAAGAACAAAGCTGGAGGCATCATGCTACCTGACTTCAAACTATACTACAAGGCTACAGTGACCAAAACAGCATGGTACTGGTACCAAAACAGAGATATAGACCAATGGAACAGAACAGAGCCCTCAGAAATAATACCACACATCTACAACCATCTTTGACAAACCTGACAAAAACAAGAAATGGGGAAAGGATTCCCTATTTAATAAATGGTACTGGGAAAACTGGCTAGCCATGTGTAGAAAGCTGAAACTGGATCCCTTCCTTACACCTTACACAAAAATTAATTCAAGATGGATTAAAGACTTCAATGTTAGACCTAAAACCATAAAAACTCTAGAAGAAATCCTAGGCAATACCATTCAGGCCATAGGCATGGGCAAGAACTTCATGTCTAAAAAACCAAAAGCAATGGCAACAAATGCCAAAATAGACAAATGGGATCTAATTAAACTAAAGAGCTTCTGCACAGCAAAAGAAACTACCATCAGAGTGAACAGGCAACCTACAGAATGGGAGAAAATTTTTGCAATCTACTCATCTGACAAAGGGCTAATATCCAGAGTCTACAAAGAACTCAGACAAACTTACAAGAAAAAAACAAACAACCCCATCAAAAAGTGGGCAAAGGATATGAACAGACACTTCTCAAAAGAAGACATGTATGCAGCCAACAGTCACATGAAAACATGCTCATCATCACTGGCCATCAGAGAAATGCAAATCAAAACCACAATGAGATACCATCTCACACCAGTTAGAATGGTGATCATTAAAAAGTCAGGAAACAATAGGTGCTGGAGAGGATGTGGAGAAATAGGAATGCTTTTACACTTTTGGTGGGACTGTAAACTATTTCAACCATTGTGGAAGACAGTGTGGCGATTCCTCAGGGATCTAGAACTAGAAGTGCCATTTGACCCAGCCATCCTATTACTGGGTATATACCCAAAGGATTATAAATCATGCTGCTATAAAGACACATACACACATATGTTTATTGCAGCACTATTCACAATAGCAAAGACTTGGAACCAACCCAAATGTCCAACAGTGATAGACTGGATTAAGAATATGTGGCACATATACTCCATGGAATACTATGCAGCCATAAAAAAGGAAGAGTTCATGTCCTTTTTAGGGACATGGATGAAGCTGGAAACCATCATTCTTGGCAAACTATCGCAAGGACAAAAAAACCAAACACTGCATGTTCTCACTCATAGGTGGGAATTGAACAATGAGAACACTTGGACACAGGAACAGGAACATGACACACCTGGGCCTGTCATGGTGTGCAGGGAGGGGAGAGGGATAGCATTAGGAGATATACCTAATATAAATGATGAGTTAATGGGTGCAGCACACCAACATGGCACATGTATACATATGTAATAAGCCTGCACTTTGTGCACATGTACCCTAGAACTTAACATATAATTAAAAAAAAAAGGAAAAATATGGAGGTAATAAAATATTTATAACCATAGGAATAGTTTTTTTTGATAAAAAGAAGCAATCACAATGTTATGTTTTATTAGTAATCCAACAAATAAGGATGATTTTTTGCAAATTTTGGTTGTATATGTTTATGTTTTTATATTTAAGTTTTCCATTTAGAGTTAACATTAATCATAAAAATTATTAAAATATATTCTTTTAAATATAGATTTGATCCTATAACTGAAAAAGAATTAATCAGTTTACTTGGGAGAGGTGCAATAATGCTCTGGATGCTGGAAATATCAGAAATATAAATGGTTGTGCTGAGGTATAAATACATCTCAAGATGTAAGCCATTGACTCATGTCTCATTGGTGATACTAAGGCTATCATAAATATGTCCATATAATTTTAAGGGATATTAGGCCAAAATTCAATCTCATATCTAAACTAATTATCCAATTTCAGAAGCTTTGCCTTCCAGATCTTACAGTCCACTGCTCAAAATAGTTTGTTAGTTTATTAGAAAAGTGAAAAGAAAAAATAAGTAGTGGAAAATTAATTGATAATATGAAAGATTCGATGCAGATTTATCTAATATACCAAATCTACATTGGATCTTTCATTTTATCAATTAATTTTCTTGTGTATTACTGATTTCAAATTTTTGACAAGCTGCTCATATCTTTAGGCAAGTTAAACTTCATATCTTGGGAATTCTGTTTGTAAAGCTGACATTTTAGCTGAAAAATCCTTCTGGCCTGCTATGATATAAGATAACAATGAGACATGAAGTGCTTTAAGAATCACTTCAGTAGAACATAGTTTTTAAAAAAGTTCTGACTCTAAGAAAAGGTGGACTACATGTATTTCTACATATAATATTTTCCCTAATAATGCTTTTAAGGCAGATTTTTCGTTCAGCTTAGTTTTTAGGAAACCTATCAACCACTGTGTGTTCACTCTGTTTCCTCTCTTGGGGCACCCCAAAACTAGCAAGTAGTTTTCCCCCTGTTATCCTTCACATTGACTTGAATGTCTCAGTTTGCTTAAAAGATTAGGGTGAAAGAGAATCATACCAGTCTAGACTAACCTAAGCCCTGGAGAACTTCCCTAGGTTGAGTTAGGTCAAATACTCAATGCTCTGTGTACAAATGCTTAACTAGATATGACTACCTTACATGAAGTGGCTCAACCATAATTCTGCATATTGTTTAAACAATTCTACATTGGATCTATGATACTTATTAATAAGTGTCTAGAAATCACATTAAAAGAGGAAATAAGACTAATTTTGTATGTTTTGGAAGATAATTAATAGTGATTTCCCAGTGCCCTCTACTAAGTGGTGCAATCATAGAAGAAGTTTAGCAAGTGAACTTGCTAAACTTAAAATTTGCTTTGCTCATTCATAAGCTATGAAACTCCATTTGCTTTGCTCATTCATAAGCTATGAAACTCATTCCTACACATTCTAATGTTTATGATGCAAATATATGTCTCTGGAAAATTTCAAATTACCTTCATGGACTTTCAGATTGAAAGTCCGACTGTTAAATCTGTAGATGCAAAAAGCCTACTTATATAACCAGTGCTGAAATGACATCTACAGTGCCATGGGCTAATCGTATCTTTATTTTAATATTTTGTAAACTTGCTAAACTGAATGTTGTTAAACTGAATGTTGAATTTGAAGTGAAGTTATAGACACTTAGGTGCTAGGGTATTGTACAGATTGTAGACATTTAACATTTTATTTCACATTTAAAGTTTCAAATATGTTTTTAAAGCTAATATGCTAATGGAGAAGGTATCTAAATCCTTTGTAGTTGGAAGTAATTCTATTCCTCCTTCTTCTTCCTAAATATACTAGCTTTCTTCTACTGCAACTAATCTTTTCATTTTATTAATAATATTTATATTATGGAAGACTGAAATGGTAAAAAAAATAAAAATAAATGAGATCCAGTGTGTGCTGCTTTATACGTAGCAGACTGGGGATGACACGTATACTTTGTTCTTTTTTGCTGTTGTTGTTAGAGACAGGCTCTCCCAAAGTGCTGGGATTACAGACATGAGCCACACCACCTAGCCAGCATATAGACTTTTATCTCTCATGCCTATTCTGATAGAATAGTAGTGGTTACCTGGAGGGCTGTGTACAGAGGAATTTTAGGTTGAATATGGTATCAGAACAGAAAATAATTAATAAGCCATATCTGCTATGAGTTCTTGTAATCTACCATCTGCCAGTAAATCCTTGATTTTTGGAAGGGATAGTCATAAGACCTCTGAAAATTTCCATATTCAAATAAGAACGTGTAATTCCCTCTTCCCCCCACAAAATTATGTATGCACAGACAAATGAATAATAAATAGGATATATTCATAGCAATCCATTTGCTTTGCTCATTCATAAGCTATGAAACTCATTCCTGCATATTCTAATGTATATGATGCAAATGTGTGTCTCTGGAAAATTTCAAATTAACTTCATGGACTTTCAGATTGAAAGTCCGACTGTTAAATCTGTAGATGCAAAAAGCCTACTTATATAACTAGTGCTGAAATGACATCTACAGTGCCATGGGCTAATCGTATCTTTATTTTAATATTTTGTCCAGTTCAACAATATTTGCTTCAGAGATAATCATGCATCTAATTGGGCCAAAATATAAGGTTTTAGGGGTGAATGTTAAGATGTAATGCATCAGAGAAGACTTTCAGTAGCCTCATCATTGAATTTGAAGGATAAGAACACTATGGAGAAATTAGGAGAAAACACTATGCTATGGAAAATACTATGCTGTGGAAACCCTATCCAGTAACTTTACCATGAGTGTAATCTACCCAAATGAATTGCTGGACCCAGACTGTGTGCACAGATGGCTGAAACAGTCAGACCTACACCTAGGAGATGAGATCATTCAGGTTCACCGTGACCCAGCCGCGCTGGATGGATCTGGATGTGCTACTCTCACGGTTGTCATGAGGTAATATGGATAGGCTATTAACAAAGCCGTGACGACGCACTCCCCTGAGACACGGTCTGCTTGTTTTGCTGCATGTAGTAAACAGCTCTCTCACTAGATCTGACAGCACTTGGTGGTGATATTCTTTTCCCTTCAGACTGACTGAGGAGGATTTCAGAGGTACCTACAGCATTAAGCCTTTGCCTGTAGGATGTTATAATTTTTTGTGTGTGTTGCATAAGGATAAATTTTTGCCATGTTGCTGTAAAAACATCTAAAGAAGGAGATCAAGACCATCCTGGCTAATACAGTGAAACCTTGTCTCTACTAAAAATACAAAAAAAGTAGCCGGGCATAGTGGCGGGCGCCTGTAGTCCTAGCTACTCATGAGACTGAGGCAGGAGAATGGCGTGAACCCGGGAGGCAGAGCTTGCAGTGAGCTGAGATCGTGCCACTGCACTCCAGTCTGGGCGACAGAGCGACACTCCATCTCAAAAAAAAAAAAAAAAAGAAAAAAAAGAAAAAAACTAAAGATTTTATTTAACTAAGTTATTAGTAAAAAAAATCATTAGGTCTCATTTTAGAATTCACTTGGCACACATGAAAAGAGGTGACCTGTTTTTCATTGTTTTTTTAAATGACTTAGAGCTTTTATTTACCTAGTGAATTTCCGATTCACTTGTACTTTATCAATTTGTGACTTTGCCAACTGGTGAGCTTTCATTTTAGGGCTTCGCTGAAGTTTTCTTGAGACAGGCTGTTATGATAGCATCTCTAAGTGCTGCAATATGACAAGCTTCCAAGACAGTTGTAAAACAATTAAAATTGTCACTAAAATGTCTTGGCTGGAATTCATATTAACATGAATAAAAGGAACTCAAGAGTCTCAAATGTTCTTACTTGAGTCTGTAGTGTTACTTGGTAAAGATTTTACGTTTTTTTCCCATCGTATCAATCAATAGTAAACCCCAATCCTTTCTTTTTGGACTGAGAAGTATGCAAGCATTTTCATACCACATGATATTATCTTTCCAAAAGCTACTTGTAGATGTAAAATAAAATCTGAATTGTTTTATTTTGCTCATAGTTAGTAAATGACACATTCTGTGTCTGGGTGAAAATCTTTCTCTATAATAACCACTGATATCTTGAGATTGTAATATTTGTTACTAGTACCAAGACAGTTTCATAGGCACAATCTCTTCGACTGGCTCTTTTGCAGCTCTTTGGGACCCTTGAATAATATAGAGACAGAATCTTAGGAGATGTTAGCAGTATCACAGGTCATACCTTATGACAAGCCTTAACAATAGTGTGTCAGGAGACTCTCATAAAAAATCATTAGATGGATACTTTAGCTGCAAATTATTTCCTCTGGACACTGTTCTGTCCTCTTTATCCATCATCATAACAGTTTATATCACATAATGGTCAGCAAGAACTGTCAAAGGAGCAGATAGGTAGATTACTGATGAATGCCTTTCCTGATATTCTCGTTTTTCCTATGACAGTCTGTGATCTGTGTTATCCCTGGTTAAGTTGTGGTTACTACCAACTCCAAATTCCAAATGATATTTCATATTCTGTGTGTTCCGCCAATGCCCAGTATTACATGGTATTAGGGGGAACATAATCCTTTGCTCAGCCAACTCCAGACAAAGTCTGCAGAGCTTCTCCTTGAGATGAGCAAACTTGGAATGTAAGGAAAGTTACTGTTCATCATAAACATTTTTAACTAGTGGAAAAAGATAACATAAAAGTCCATATGCTTTCAGAAAGTAATTTTCATTGTGGAAGCTTCTGAGTAGGGCATACAAAGGAACATAAAACCTGGTGATGCCATGAAGCAGCTCTTTGCACAGTTGACATCATTTCTCATAAAGTATTCCCTTTTAAGTCATCCACAGTAGAAATCACAAAAGAACAGAGATCAAGTACTGGTCTCGTTAGTCAGAGATTGTGGGTTCGTACCTCATTTGGTCTGGGATTTCTTAGTCACAGGGGTGTTTTAGAAGGACCATGTTTTAGAAGGACCCTGGAAGAACAGGGTTTTTGGATTCAACAGACTTAGATTAAAATCACAACCCTAGCTAGCTCTTTTATCTCAGACAATTTAGTTAATATTTTGATTTCAGTTTTCTTATTTATAAAATTAAGATGATGATATATACTTCTTAGGTTTGTTGTGAGGAAAAATTAAAAGAGTGTTGAAGAGCCTAGCCCACACCTGGCATACTGTCAGCACTCAGAAAATCATGGCTATTATTTTTACTATTAGCATGAGACTCAGAAACTATGGGCCTGTTATCTCATTTGCCTGGTTTTATTTCATATGTGGATCTTATGCTGAGATAGCTGACTAGGCATCCAGGCTTGGCCACATCTTCTAAGTATATTTTAATCAACTCTGTAGTGTCTGTTTCTTTGTTAACCTCAAAGAGACTATTCTGAAAAACAAGTATTATTCCCTCAAATTAACTTCCCGAATCATTTTTCGAGAATATAATTCATATATTAATGTTAAAAGTAGTGTTGTGTATTCTTTAAGTTTCTTCGATGTTCTAGATTTTCAGAGTCATGAGTAACAAATGCTCTATTGCTGTATTTTGCATGTTCTATCTAATTTCCTTGACTAGCCTCATCAAAATTTTGGTGATTTTTACACAGTAAAACTGGGATCAGAAGTTAAACACTGGGTGGGATTAAGATTCAATTCACAGTAAGAAAAACAAAACCTTTGTATGTAACATAAGTGTTTTCATTATTCCCTATATAACACCACAAAATGGATAAAAATCTTTGTATAACAGTTTAAAATAATTTAAACATCCAGACTAGGAAATAAAAATGAATTAATAATGGATAATAAATTTTTATTTCTTATATTGTGTTACAATTATATAATTACATATATAATCACACATTTAATAAATATGTATAATATCTTATTCTGATATGGATATAGAATTTTACAGTTGATAAATCTTTTTAATTCAAATCATTCTATTCTATTCTTAAAACAAAATTCTTTGGGATAATGATTACATCAATTTTTTAAATGGAAGACTAATGCCAATGAGGAATACAAGTCGCAAACCAAGATTTGATAGTAGTTCTCATTTACATTTTACCACATCAGGCTGCCTCATGATGGGATATGTTGCAATCTATGAACCCACTCTCCATTTTGGGGAGTTTCTTCACAGCATCCTTTTCTTCTCTCAGTCTTCTTGTGGCTAAATTTAGGCACACATGTATACATACATGCACACACACACACACATGTGTGTGTATATATATATATATTTGTGTATATATATATATATATATATATATACACACACACACACACACACACACACATTGCCTTCCAAATTTGAGGGATAAAAAGTAGAATGTAATAACATGACTCAGTGTAAAACTGCACCTTCAGTTTTATCCTTGTGTATTTATCATTGCATGTTTATTTATTTATAAATTTTGTATAACATGTAGCTAATTTTGAGCATTGGGTAATAAAGGTGGGTTAGGGTCACTTTTTTTGGTGGAAGTTGATGTTGGAAGGAAGGTGAGACAGTCTCATATAAGAAACTATGAATCATAGAGTCTCTACTGTTACACATTGCTGCTGATGAGAATTTTGTTGTCCAGGACAATTGTCATTCCTTTGTAAGTGACTATGTTTTAAAGGATGTTGTGTGTGTGTGTTTGTGTGTGTGTTTAATGTGGATTAATTTTACTTTTATATTCCTGCATATGGCTAGGCCTTCTCCTTCAGACCCTGAACATCACTATCTTTTGTAAAATAGATACAGTAAAATAGATATAGGGATAGTAAATAAGAAATGCTCTTACTTCACTTGAAAATTTTAATGTGATTTCAGAGCAGATATGAGGTTGATATGGTACGAAGGCGCACATTTAATATTGGAGTCAACTAAGGTCCTATTCATTTTATTACCAATATCCCAAACTTGTTATATAAACTCTTACCTTATATTCTAAAAGGGGGGTAATAATACCTTCTATTGTAATTTTAAAACACAGAGTTTTGAGATGTGTTAAGAATCACAGTGCCTTGCACTTAATTTAGTAAAAGTTGACCCCCTGCCACCTTTTCTTTCTCTTCTGATTAATAGAGGAGTCTACTACCTCAAACATTTATTACTGATTTGTGTGGGGAACATTACAAATCTTCTAGTTATTTTGAAATATACTATAAATTCTTGTTATCTGTAATCATCCTACTGTGCTACCAGACACTATAACTTATTCATTCCATCTGAATTTTTATACCTATTAACTAACATCTCCTCCTTCCCTGCTACTCTTCCCAGCCTCTGGTAACCACTATTCTACTCACTGTATTCATGAGATTAATTTTTTTAGCTCCCACATATGAGTGAGAATGTGTGATATTTGTCTCTCTGTATCAGGCATATTTCATGTGACATAATATCCTCCAGTTCCATCCATGTTGCTGCAAATGACAGGATTTCATTCTTTTTTATGATTGAATAATATATTATTGTGTATGACAATATTTTCTTAAGTACTCATACATCGATGGACATTTAGGTTGTTTCCTTATCTTGGCTATTGTGAATAGCACTGCAATAAATATGGAAGTGCAGGTATTGCTTCAATATACTGATTTCCTTTCTTTTGGATACATATTCATCAGTGGGATGGGTAGATTATATGGTAGTTCTATTTTTAATTTTTTGAGAAACTGCCATATTGTTTTCCATAGTTGCCATGCTAATTTACATTCCCACCAACAGTATATGAGTCTCTCCTTTCTCCACATCCTTGCAAGCATTATTTTCTGTCTTTTTGGTAAGAAATAGACATTTTAACTGGGATGATATATCTTTTTATGGTTTTGATTTGCATTTCCTTTATGATTAGTGATGTTGAGCATTTTTTCATATTCCTGTTGGCAATTTGTGTGTCTTGGAAGACTTAGTATTGTTAAGATGTCCATACCGCCCAAAGTGATCTACAGGTTCAGTGCAATCCCTACAAAAATACCAATGACATTCTTCACAGAAATTTTAAAAATGAAATGATCCTAAAATTTATATGGAACAACAAAACACCTCAAATAGCCAAAGCAATTTTGAGGAAAAAGAACAAAGCTGGAGACATCATATTACCTGACTTCAAAATATACCACAAAGTTATAGTAACTAAAATAGCATGACACTGGCAAAAAAACAAAAAAAACCCCATAGACAAATAGAACAGAATAATAGAATAGAGAACTCAGAAATAAATCTTACTCATTTATAGCCAACTCATTTTCAACAAAGGTACCAAAAACATACATTGAAGAAAGGACAATCTCTTCAATAGATCATGCTGGGATGTCTGGATATTCATATGCAGAAGAATGAAACTAGATTACTCTCTCTCAATTAATACATAATAAAATCAAAATGGATTAAAGACTTACACATAGGATGTGAAAGTATGAAACTACTAGAAGAAAACATTGGGGAAATGCTCCAGGACAGTGGTCTAGGCAAGGTCTTACTTTTCAGTAAGACCTCAAAAAACACTAACAACAAAAGCAAAAATTGACAAATGGATTACATCATGCTAAAAGGTTTCTTCACAGAAAAGGATACAATCAACAAAGTGAAGAGACAACCCACAGAATGGGAGAAAATATTTACAAATTATTCACTCTACAAAGGATTAATACCCAGAATAGATAAGGAACTCAAATAACTTAATAGTAAAAAATAATAATAATCCAATTTAAAAATGAGCCAATGTTCTTAAGACAATTCTCAAAAGAAGACATGTCACATTGTTTTCAGATAATTTTTAAATTGGTTTTCCTTCTGAAGATACTAAAGTTTTGGTGGCAAGAGCACTGAATTTTGGTTCTAGACCATGGGTTCTAGAATCTACTGTAATACTAGGCTTACATAATTTCAGCTATGAAATGCAGGGTTTGGATTTAATGCTTTGTAAAATTATTTATAGCTCCAATTTTTTTTATTAATACTTCTCTATTTTCTGAGGAAAGATTTAACATGATATCCTTTACAGTGTCCTATAGGTTTAATAACATTATAGCCTATAATCTAATTTTCAAAAGTAGTTTTCAAGTACTTTTTCACATGTATGTCAAGTTATGGTTATAATGCTAAATAAATAATCAAAAGGTTGAAAAAATAAAGCAATTAAAATTTATTATAATAACTTCCAAAGTGTACTGAAAACTAAGGATTTTATCTTTCACTTGTGGCTTTCCAAAGGTGAAAGAGAAATCAATAAAAATTCTTACATTATTAATGCCATTTAAAACAACACACCAAATCAACAATGGCTTGGGTAGTATATATGCATCAAATTCTTCTTGTTGATAAACATAAAGATATCTTTGAGCTAGAGGGCATATGGTTCCTACTGTCATTTTACAAATAGAAAAGAAATCAAAAGCCCAGATAGTAAATGACTGATTCAAGGTCATAGAATGAAGTATTACGACTATATTCCAGTCTTCTTGACCACTAGACAATAATCTTAATTCATCAGGTGGCAAATACCCAAATCATATTTATTGGTTTATAAGTTTGTAGCCATTGCTTACGATCATTAAAAGGAATATAGAAGTCATTGTTCAATGTTTCCTGAAAAGTCTTTCAAAAAAATCTTACTGATCCCAAGCTTTTCTAAAGTATTAATAACTTGCTGGACTAACTGATTTCAATTATTTCTATAAAATATAATTACTGGTTATTCCTGCTGACTGTAAATTAGAACTATTCAACTACATTTTAGCTGCTGGGCAATTACATTATTTCTACAAGTAAATTATTTTATTTTCAAGAGTCTGTTTTTATTAATCTTAAATATGAATTATTACCCAATTGTTCTTGTTATAGAAACAATATGTCATTTAGTTAAATATTGTAGAAAATTGTTTAAAATATAATTACGTGATTTTTATTTAAAAACTAAGTTGAATACTTGAGACAGTCTCAATAAGGATCAGTCACTAAAAAAGATGAAAAAATCGTAACAGTCTCAGAGATTCTGCATTCAGATTGATAGGCAAATGTATTAAATTCTAGTGGTGCTTTAAAAATGCCAAAGCTAGACATCAGAAACAATTAGTGGATATATAGTATGACATCTGCAAAAAAGTGTAGTTAAACATGATTTTTTTTAAATGTCAAAGTTCGAAATGGTATAACTATGGGCAGACTTTGAAGCTATAAATATTTCAGTTGATCATATAGATGACATTACTTATATTTCTATACCTACTTTATATATACCACAAGAGACCTACTTATTCAGTCAAATAAGACATTGCGTTTAATATAGAATTTAAGAAATATATAAAAATACTCATTATAATTAAATCTTCTATATTTAGCATTGCAGATTTTTAATTTACTCTGTAAAATAATGTTATATAAACTGTTACTAGTATTAGCCTAAACACACTTTAGTAATATATGTTTGTGACTTTATTTTTTTATAATTAAGCAAATATACATACGTTTAATGTAGTAGCACAATTGCAAATAGTATGTTTCACTATTCATTAGAGGGATAAGTTATTATGCACAAAAGTTAAAATAAAATGAAAATAATACTACAACTTAAGGATCTATTTTGAAATTATGAAATTGACATCAGCAAAATAAAAACATTTTGTTGAATATTTTCTTTCTTTTTTTTTTTAGAATAAAATTAACTTTTATTATGTTGAAAATTGTGACAAAGAACGTTTAGTTTACTCTGGTCTTAGGGAACTATTTAAATATAAAAAGCGATGGGATTACATGGATTCCGTGAAAAGTTAAAGCTTCTGTACATTAAAAATTCCTAAAATTAAAAGATAAACTTCAAATTGGCATAAAATATTTACAACTGATATGATAGAGAATTAGGATCCTCATTTTGAAAATAATATTAATGAAAAAACTGGATAGAAAACGTCACTAGAAGAATCACACACAAAAAGATTGTATATAGTGAATAAACATGAAAATTAGTCAAATAATTACAATAAAATAATGAAAGGTAAATCAAATCACCACCAAAGATAAATAATACTGAAATACTATTGGTTGAGTCTCAATTTTTTAGTGACAATAATGCTGTTCAGGGTATGGTAAGATGGAGATACTTCCTAATGGGACTAAGAATTGGTACAACATTTATGGAAAGCAGTTTATTCTTATTCTTTTTTTTTTCTTTTTTTTCTTTCTTTTTTATTTATTTATTTATTATTATTATTAATTTTTTTATTATACTTTAAGTTTTAGGGTACATGTGCACATTGTGCAGGTTAGTTACATATGTATACATGTGCCATGCTGGTGCGCTGCACCCACTAACTCGTCATCTAGCATTAGGTATATCTCCCAATGCTATCCCTACCCCCTCCCCCCACCCCACCACAGTCCCCAGAGTGTGATATTCCCCTTCCTGTGTCCATGTGATCTCATTGTTCAATTCCCACCTATGAGTGAGAATATGCAGTGTTTGGTTTTTTGTTCTTGCGATAGTTTACTGAGAATGATGATTTCCAGTTTCATCCATGTCCCTACAAAGGACATGAACTCATCATTTTTTATGGCTGCATAGTATTCCATGGTGTATATGTGCCACATTTTCTTAATCCAGTCTATCATTGTTGGACATTTGGGTTGGTTCCAAGTCTTTGCTATTGTGAATAATGCCGCAATGAACATACATGTGCATGTGTCTTTATAGCAGCATGATTTATAGTCCTTTGGGTATATACCCAGTAATGGGATGGCTGGGTCAAATGGAATTTCTAATTCTAGATCCCTAAGGAATCACCACACTGACTTCCAGCATGGTTGAACTAGTTCACAGTCCCACCAACAGTGTAAAAGTGTTCCTATTTCTCCACATCCTCTCCAGCACCTGTTGTTTCCTGACATTTTAATGATCACCATTCTAACTGGTGTGAGATGGTATCTCATTGTGGTTTTGATTTGCATTTGTCTGATGGCCTAACACTACTTGCTCCAGTATGGCAAACCTGAATGTCATTGAGATTGACACCAATCTTTGTTTTTGTCTGTTTCTGTTCTGTGTACTGTAACAGAAATGTTTCATGTTTATGCACTTTGTTTTGCAAGAGCACTTCACATATCTCTGCCCAGTTCCAAAGTATAACCGAGTAGCAGAAGACTACAGTCATTTCCTTATCTTTTTAAATGTCACCTAACTCCAGGAGATGTTTTTTCCATGTTGGAAACAGCAGTCTAGAGCACAACTGTTTTAAAATCCCATCTCCTAATTTTAAATGATAGAACGTGACACTTCTTACTTCTAAAGAAACTGTTAATATGTAACAAGTGTCTTCTCAATCACTATTGAATTCAAAAACAGGTACTCAATCTATAAATCATTGTTCTACTGGGAGTACATTTTTGTTGAGTGACATTTTTCTTAGGTTGTGTGTGTATGTGTGAGTGAGAGAGAGGAAGAGGGAGAGAGAGTCAGTCTTAGCCTTCATCTCTGATTTTATATCTGTTTTCCTCCCTACCATTTCCCTCCCCTCCCCACCCCTGCCCTCCCTTCCCCTCCCCTCCCCACCCCTGCCTTCCCTTCCCTTCCCCTCCCCTACAGCCTCTCCTTTCCTTTATGTCAACCATTGTGACATGCAGTGTTTGAATGACTTCATAATCAGAAATGATATGCTGTATTAGTTTGCCAGGGCTGCCATAACAAAGTACCACAAATTGGGTGGCTCAACAACAGAAACATATTTTCTTATAGTTCTGGAGATTATAAGTCCAAGATCAAAGCGTTGGCAGTTTTGGTTTATCCTTAAGCTTTTCTCCTTAGCTTGTAGATGGCTATCTTCTCTCTGTGTTCTCACGTGATCTTTCCTCTGTAGTTGCGCATACTTAGTGACTCTTTTTGTGTCCACGTTGCCTCTTTTCGTAAGACACAAATCAGGTTGGTTGAGGACCTACCCTAATGGCCTGTTTAAGCTAATCACCCCCTTAAAGGCCCTATCTCCAAATACTGTCACATTCTGACATGCTGGTGGTTAAAGCTGCAACATACACATTTTAGTGAGACACAATTTAGCCCCTAACATGAGGATTGCAAGCTATTCCACAAAATAAGATTGGGCAACACTCTACAAATGAAACTATTGGAAAAATAGTTATAATGGGAGAGTTTAGCCATTGCTACAATCAGCCACATACAAAACCCTAAATGTGTAGGAAACTAAAGAATTTGAGGTTTCCTCAAAAGCATATCATAGTGGCCCAGGTGGAGGATCTAATTAAACTAAAAAGCTTCTGAACAGCAAAAGAAACTACCATCAGAGTGAACAGGCAACCTACAGAATGGGAGAAAATTTTTGCAATCTACTCATCTGACAAAGGGCTAATATCTAGAATTTACAAAGAACTCAAACAAATTTACAAGAAAAAAACAACCCCATCAAAAAGTGGGTGAAGGATATGAACAGACACTTCTCAAAAGAAGACATTTATGCAGCCAGCAGACACATGAAAAAATGCTCATCATCACTGGCGATCAGAGAGATGCAAATCAAAACCATGATGAGATACCATCTCACACCAGTTAGAATGGTGATCATTAAAAAGTCAGGAAACGGGCCGGGCGCGGTGGCTCACGCCTGTAATCCCAGCACTTTGGGAGGCTGAGGCGGGTGGATCATGAGGTCAGGAGATCGAGACCATCCTGGCTAACAAGGTAAAACCCCGTCTCTACTAAAAATACAAAAAATTAGCCGGGCGCGGTGGCAGGCACCTGTAGTCCCAGCTACTCGGGAGGCTGAGGCAGGAGAATGGCGTGAACCCGGGAAGCGGAGCTTGCAGTGAGCCGAGATTGCGCCACTGCAGTCCGCAGTCCAGCCTGGGTGACAGAGCGAGACTCCGTCTCAAAAAAAAAAAAAAAAAAAAAAAAGTCAGGAAACAACAGGTGCTGGAGAGGATGTGTAGAAATACGAATGCTTTTACACTTTTGGTTGGACTGTAAACTAGTTCAACCATTCTGGAAGACAGTGTGGTGATTCCTCAAGGATCTAGAACTAGAAATACCATTTGACCCAGCCATCCCATTACTGGGTATATACCCAAAGGATTATAAATCATGCTGCTATAAAGACACATGCACACGTATATATATTGTGGCACTATTCACAATAGCAAAGACTTGCAACCAACCCAAATGCCCATCAATGATAGGCTAGATTAAGAAAATGTGGCACATATACACCATGGAATACTATGCAGCCATAAAAAATGATGAGTTCATATCCTTTGTAGGGACATGGATGAAGCTGGAAACCGTCATTCTCAGCAAACTATCGCAAGGACAAAAAACCAAACACCGCATGTTCTCACTCATAGGTGGGAATTGAACAATGAGAACACTTGGACACAGGAAGGGGAACATCACACACCAGGGCCTGTTGTGGGGTGGGGGGAGCGGGGAGGGATAGCATTAGGAGATATACCTAATGTAAATGAGGAGTTAATGGGTGCAGCACACCAACATGGCACATGTATACATATGTAACAAACCTGCACGTTGTGCATATGTACCCTAGAACTTAAAGTATAATAATAAAAAAAAGGAAAGAAAGAAAAAAATTAAATGACTTCCCAGAAAAAAAAAAGAATTAGTAAATGTAAATTCATAGACTAGTAAATAGTGTCATACTCTATCTGATAAAATAGAAGAATGTGTTGGCAAAGATGCTGATGGTACATACAGAAGCTAGAGAAAAACAGCCAAAAGGGTAAGAATTTGATGTTACATTTCTAGCAATGTAATGGTCTGAGGTCAGAATGAAGGGATTATTAAGCTTTCTGGCTACTAGAAAAATATGTCCTCTCTTATGGGCCTGACTTAAAGGCCTTGCTGAAGTCAGCTGGGTTGTAGTATGTCCCTGTTATTATACTTTTTTACTTTTTTTTTTTTGGAGATGGAGTCTTGCTCTGTCACCCAGGTTGGAGTGCAATGGGGTGATCTTGGCTCACTGCAGCCTCTGCCTCCTGAGTTCAAGTGATTCTCCTGCCTCAGCCTCCCAAGTAGCTTGGATTACAGGCACCTGCCACCATTCCCAGCTAATTTTTGTATTTTTAATAGAGACGGGATTTCACCATGTTGGTCAGGCTGGTCTCGAACTCCTGACCTTAGGTGACCCACCCGCCTCGGCCTCCCAAAATGCTGGGATTACAGGCATAAGCCACTGCACCTGGCCTGTACTGTTTCATTATATTCCATTTTTATTATATCTTATTTTTGTCAAGAGTAATTTATTCTGAAATTCAATTTCTCATGCGTTCTAACAATGCGAACTTCATGAAGAACAAACATAAATATTCTAGTTCTAGGGAACGATAACCCCAAGTTTTAAATGAATAGAGTTGCTTTCTGGTTTAACTATCTACCATGAGCTCCAAGATAGTCTTGCCCAAGTAGGCAGCCATTTTCTTTGGAATGTTCCTTATAGTGCTTACAACTTTAACTTCAGCACACTCATATAATAAGCACTGTTGAGTCTTATTCTGCCTATTCTCTAAAAAAAAAAAAAAAAAGCAAAGCAAAACAAAAAATAGTATACATGATTCAGTTCTCAAATTCCACCAGCTGTTTTAAATTTTTTTTGAAACCTCTAGTCCAGTCTTAATATTTAATCACATAGCATTTTGTATGGCATTTTGAAACAAACTGAAAAACACTAAATTCAGCTTATTTGAGCTTTTTGTTACTCTAGAACCTTGAACTACTGCTCACTCTATTCTTATATCTTTGCAAATCTCACTTCTTTACATATTCCATGTCAAATGTCAACTCCTCCAAGGATTTCTTGACTACACTTGTTAAATGACCACTCATTCCCATCCCCAGTCACTACTGCATAGACAAATGACTGACACTAATTGGGGTCAGGGAATATTTATTTACTAAACAAAATCAACAAATCAATGAATCCATTCTGGCTTCTATAGCATATTTGAAGAATGATAGTTAACAACACAATTTCTATATAATATTTATTTATAAATGTTCATGTTTTAGGTAAACATTGCCTAAAAGTTGTAGATAATCCCTAAATATTTTCCTATGATTTATATAATTTATGAATTCATACTATCTTCTATTGGAAGACAAGTGATTTTTAGCTTCTAAAGAGTTCACTTGTCAATGAATTCTTCAGTGATTCTCAAAGTGTGATCCCCAAAACAGTAGCATTAGCATCACCTACAAATCTATTAAAAATAAAAATTTGAGGCCCCACACAGGAACCACTGAATCAGAAACTCTTAGACTGGGGTCCAGTTATCTGTGTTTTAACAGACTTTCCCAGTAACTCTTGTCAACCACTCTTACCTAATCAAAAGTCTAAATCGATACCTGTGGCTATTACAGTTAAAATGGTAGCATTGTCATTGGAATATATTTGAATTTCTTTAGTGATTTTAGAAATTTTTGATATAATTGTAGAAAATCAATCTTAGATCACTACTGATTTACAATTCCATTCATAGGCTTGACATCTCAGACTGATCCAAGAGCCCTATACCTAATTTCTCAGCTAAAAGTCAATGTAGACTTGGATTCATTTCCTACTACATGGATAAAAAGCTATTTCCCATAACATTTCTTTGGTATGAAACAGTAAAAAAAAAATGAATAGGAAATGACAATAACCCAGCACCAATTTATCAACCTTGCTGTCATTTCTTAAATATCATTTTCACAAATATGTTATTACAGAGCTCTGGTAGAGGACAAAGCGATGATTTGGCAAGCTCCAAAAAGACTCAAATGTCGGGGAAAATATTTTAATTCCAGAATTATGACAGATTTATGCTACGAATAAATGTTTGAAATTCAGATAATATATGTCACCTTTCTTTTGTGGCACAAAGATAATAGAATTATAAGAGAGAAACTTCATTGTTTTTACACTATGACAAAAATATGGGCCTGTATTAAGAAGGGGAAAAGTAGCATGTATTATTGAAGAAACAGGAGCCAGCGGTTGAATACTCTCCTGCCTTTTATCTCCACCTGTAGTGAACTCACTTGTACTCTTCTTGCCCTACAAATAGAACTGCAATCTGCCATGCAATTATTACCTAACCTTTGCAAGCTGCCTGTGTTGTCAAAACATTTCTGCTCAGTAACATACTATACTTAAAGAAGATAGTTACTAATGCACTTGGACACATTTTCTAGTACAGGCAGAAATTCTTGACTCTTAAAATGGCATTATTTTCACTTCTTCATATACTTGGATTGTATCTTCTAATAGAGATGATGAAGCAAAAAATCGAAACAACAATGATTTAAATCCTTTGGGAATAAATATGAAGATCATTGCATACAAATAGACCAAAAAGACTAATAATTTTTTGAATAGGAATATCTACATGAATATATTTTAAATGATGAAATGAAGGTCCTCAGTATGTAGGAAAATATAGTTCATGAAAATTGGAACTTAAAACAAGTTTTCTTTTTAATGTAGAATATAAGCTCATCCTTTTACACCACTTTATGTATATTTCAATTCAATGAACTATAATTTTATTGAGAATTGCATTTTCCACTGGACTTTCCTAGCAATTTCTTATTAAAATTTTAAGAATGTATGTTGAAAGCATATTTACTATTATGAAAATATATTGTATATATTTAAAAATATATTTGTTATTTTGTAATATCAATTGTATCAAAATGTATTTCTTAGAAATTACTTTTAAATTATAGGGCCTTCAGCTAGAAAGAGGGCATAATTTGATGATCTTTCTCCTGAAAAAAAATTAGCATGTAGTCCTCTTGGTAAAAGCATAAATTTAATATGGCTTGAAATAATGCCTTTGTGGCAGATTAGAGACACTTTTTTGAAATATTACAATGCCTTTTAAAACTTTTAGCCTTCAAAAAAGGAACTATTTCAGATACTAATTACTACCAAAATTTATTTAGTCATTTTTAACTGCTCAAACAGCAAAATACACAAAAGTAAAATAATTTTAAAGTTGTAATCACGGCTGTTGCCCTTTGTGCCCATGGGTTCTGCATCCACAGATTCACTCAATCATGGACTAAAGTATTTTGAAAAATAAAAATAAAAAACACAAATTTAAAAATACAGCATAACAACTATTTACATAGCATTTACATTGTATTATAAATAATCTAAAGAGATTTAAAGTGTTTGAGAGGTCGTGGATAGATTTTATGCAACTACTATGCCATTTTATATAAGGGACTTGAACATCAGTGGATTTTGGTATGGGATGGGGGATTTCTGGAACCAGTTGCCCTGGGATCCCAAGGTATTTCAACTGTATTTCCTGCTAGTTATAGATATTTTTAGATCTGCTCTTAGATTTTTTCCTATAGGGATTGATTACCATTGTATAATGTTAGTATAAAAATTTTAATCATGTTGTAGTAACTGCTGAAATATATGTAACTAACATATAATGTGATTGTGAAGTCTTGATATACATAAACCAAATATACATGTGCTTAAAGAGGTTACTTGTATTTTTAATGGCATATAGGCCATTATTAAAGAAACTATTAATTTACAAATAGAATCAGCACAGCTTCTTACAAAATAAATACAGGATATATTTTTTGCCTTGGAATAGTCATAGAAAAAGTAGGATTTGTTACATTGTGGGAAACTTAGGTAGCATTATGGTTTCAATTAGAGTCGAAATTTAAGTTCTTCCTTTCAACTTTTTTTGGTATTTTACGTTTAGAATACCTTCAACTTTGGGAAACATAAGTCAAGAGGCAGCAGGAAGGGTCTACTCACTCAGTAAATACACAAGGCATGCTTTGAACTCAGGGGAAACTAATTTGCACAATTCTTACTGCTCTTTTGTTGTGGAGAAAGTTTTATGTGTGGAAACAAATATGTTCAAAGAGTCATGTTACAGAATAATAGAGAAAACTAAGTAATTTGTATGTTATCAGATAAAGTAAAAGTTCTAATGGAACAGGTAGTAAGTCAGGAAATGGGTACTTTACTACCAACTATTTACATTAACCAGATGGTTATTTGCCTAATTTTATTTAGATTATTATGTTTCAATAGTTTGTAGTTGCACAAGCAAAAGAACAGAGCCATATAGTTGCTTAATATAATATTATGTAACTCTCAAATTTTCTATAATTTTAATTTCCTTTAAATGGAATTCATTCATATCAATTCATTCACTTGAATATCACTAAATTTGGTATCTGGTACAGTATAAATTCTATATGTATGTCTGTTGACATTATACATTATACATAACATTCAACTATATATCATAATTAGAACAACATGACTATTTTTAGAGTAAAAATAGTTTCAAATTGTATATTTGTTTCAGATATGCACAGATATGACATGGTATACATACCTGAAATGTTATATTTTTATTCTGTTGTAAAATTACTTTTAAGTTAAATTATATAAGACAAAATATAAAATTAATAAAAAATTAAATACGATCATTTGAAATGATTGTGATTTAAGAAATATTTTATAGAAAGCATTTGAAAATAACTAAATTTTTCACATGCTTACTATCTCAATATGTGCTTCTTATGATTTTAATAGTATACTTCAAAAGGAAAAAAACGCAGGGTGTTCAATCAATATTTTCTATTTATTTGTTCGCATAAGCGGTTATCCAAAAATTAAGAGTTAAATGGACATTTGCCTATTATCAAATAAAATTGTTTGTATTTTCCACTCTGTTCTTTTTCATTTTATATGGCAATTATTTTATGTGATTTTTTAAAATCAATTTCAATTATTCATGGATCCCTAAATATGAATTTTCTATAGCCAATCCAACTACCAAATAATGATAGAAATTCATTAATTCAATAAACATTTACTGAGAAACTACCATGTGTCAGACACTATTCTAAGCCTTAGAGATTGATATGGTTTGGATTTGTACCCCCACCCAAATCTCACATCGAATTTTAATCCCCAGCATTGGAGGAGGGGCCTGGTGGGAGGTGATCAGATCATGAGAGCAGATTTCCCCCTTGCTGTTCTCAGGATAGTGAGTGAGTTAGCACGAGAACTGGTTGTTTAAAAGTGTGTAACACCTTGCCCAGCTCTTTCTTCCTCCTGCTCCAGCCATGCAGTATGTGCCTGCTTCGCCTTCACCTTCCACCATGATTCTAAGTTTCCTGAGGCCTCCTCAGCCATGCTTCCTATACAGGCTGCAAAATCATGAGTCAATTAAACCTCTTTTCTTTATAAATTACCCATTCTCAGGTAGTTCTTTATAGCAGTGCTAGAATGAACTAATATGGAGATACAACAGTGAAATAAACAAAGCCCCTGCGGTCATAGACTGTACTGCATTGTAGTAAGGGTCAGGAGATTATAGGTAGAAAAACTAAACAAACATACAATTTGTTAGGAAGTCATAAGTTTCAAGCATCAAAAAACACAAATGAAAAGAGAGTGGTCTAAAATGGAAGAAAGCATTATTTTGTAATCAGGAAAGATTCCTTTCAGATGGTTACATTTACATAGCGAGTCCTAGAAAAAAAGTGATTGAGTAAGCCTTGTGGATACATGGGGAAATGATGTTTAAGTGAGAATAAATAGCAAGTGCTAATACCCTGAGTCATATGCTTGAAAGTCCTTTTGGAAGAAAAGAAATGAAGGAACATGACTAGAATTAAGTGACCAAAGCAGAGAGGGGTAGAAGAGGTATTGGGGTAGAATATGAGGTCAGAAATGTAGATGAGTAAGAGCAGCAGATTATGCCAATCTTGCAGGCCCCCACACAGATTTTCCATTTTATTCTGAGTAATACGGAAAGTAATTAGACAGTTCTTTTTTTGTTTCTTACAATGTTTTATCTCTGGGGCAGCCTGCCTTCATTTATCCCTTACTATCTTGCTTATGCATTATTTATGTAGTCCCTGGAACAGTTAGATAGTCTTTGACATCAGTATCTACCCAATCTCCACTTTTCCCTTCACTGCAAGATTAAGCTTCCTAGGCCGGGCACGGTGGCTCATGCCTGTAATACCAGCACTGTGGGAGGTTGAGGCTGACTGATCACCTGAGGTCAGGAGTTAGAGACCAGCCTGACCAACAGGACAGAACCCCATCTCTTAGCTGGGTGTGGTGGCACGCACTTGTAATCCCAGCTACTTGGGAGGCTGAGGTAGGAGAATCACTTGAACCCAGGAGGCAGAGGTTGCAGTGAGCCGAGATCGCTCCACTGCACTCCAGCCTGGGAGACAGAGCGAGACTCCATCTTAAAATAAAAAAAAGATTGAGCTTCCTAAAGGACTTCTTGGATGATGATACTCTCTGACCAAAACTTAAAAACAACCCGAATATATATGGACCTCAAACAACTCTATAGCAAAAAACTCTTATAATCCAGTTAAAAACTAGGCAAAAGATATGAATAGATATTTCTCAAAAAAGAGATACAAACAGCAAACAAGTGTACAAAAAGGTGTTCAACATCATTGATCCTCAGAGAATTGCAAATCAAAAGTACAATGAGGTATGTCACCCCAGTTAAAATGGCTTATATACAAAAGACAGGCAATAATGAATGCTGGTGAAAATGTGGAGAAAAGGGAGCCTTCCTCAACTATTGGTAGGAAAGTAAATTAGTACAGCCACTATGGAGAACAGTGTGAAGCTTCCTCAAACAACTAAAAATAGAAGTAACATATGATCTAGCAATCCCACTGCTAGGTACATACCCCGAAGAAAGAAAAACAGTATATGGAAGAGATATCTGCACTGTCATGTTTATTGCTGCACTATTCACAGTAGTCAAGATTTGGAAGCAGCTGAAATGTTCATCAACAGATGGATGAATAAAGGAAACATGGTATATATACAAGATGGAGTAGTATTTAGCCATAAAGAAGAAAGAGATCCTGTCATTTGTAGCAACATAGATGGGACTGGAGGACATTATGTTAATTGGAATACACCAGGCCCAGAAAGATAAACTTCACGTGTTATCATTCATTTGTGGGAGCTAAAAATTAAAATAATTGAACTCATGAAGATTGAAAGTAGAATGATGGTTACCAGAGGCTGGGAAAAGGTATTGGGGTGGGAGGAAGTAGATTTAATGGTACAAAAATATAGTTAGGTAGAACGAATACGATCAAGTATTTGATAGCACAACAGTTGTGCTACACTTAACAGTGTGACTACAGTTAACAGTAATCTAGTATATGTTTTAAAATAACCAAGAGTATAATTGGAATGTTTGCAACATGAAGAAATGATAAATGCTTGAGGTAATAGATACCCCATTTACCCTGATATGATGATTACACATTGTATGCCTGTATCAAAATATCTCAGGCACTCCATATATATATATATATATATATATATATATATATATATATATATATATATATATAAAATATGCGTCTACTATGTACCCATAAAAATTAAAAATTAAAAAAAATAAGCAAAAAGGCCAATAGTGATTATCATTTATAGTGTTACATCCATTATCTAATTTAAATTATTATTCACGTGAACCCTCTGAAGCAAATACTACTGTTATACCCACTTTACAAATGAAGGAAACATGGCTTAATAAAGTTAAGAAGTAATTTGCTTGAGTGTATATATCTAGACAATGATGGAGACATGATTTTATCTCCACTGCTAATCAAATGAAATGAAATTTTCTCAACCAAAAAGTTAAGTCCTTCCACATGGTGCTTACATGTAATCTAGACTGGCCAAGCTCCATGTGCCCTCTCCATCGCCTATTAAATTTGGGGTCAGAGGCAAGTTATCAAACCTAGCGAGTCAGTAAACCTCTGTAAAATTAATATCTTCCTCAAAATTAAATGAGAAAATGAACACAAAATACTTTAAACAGAGCTTAGTATATGATGGGAAATTAGATGTCAGCTATACTCATTACCTCGGTATTATCATATACATCAAATAATGCAACAAAATGAAGAAAAATTTACATGTAAATCATATTATTGTTAAATTGCAGGAATATATGCTCAAGATATTGGTTGGCCACAGCATAGGTAAAACTATACCATATTATCAATATACCAAAACCATATGTGAGCATTTTAAAAACTTATTTACCTTATCTCTTTTTCTAAAATGCATGTTTCTTTACAGTTATAGCTTTAAAAAGTTTAACTAAAGCCATGAGTGTTCTTCTTTGGCCAGTAGGAGCTGAAGAATATTTTTTCCTATTATTAAAGAATAAAACTTTTACTCATGTGACTACCCTACCAGATGGATCAATAGATGGAAATGTTTACAATGACAATGATGAATGGTAAAAATATTATAATTACTTACAATTCTTCATGTTATTCAAATGTTCTACTCATCAGAAAAAAATTCAACTTATGGCTATTAACAAGTAATAGAGGAGTAGAATAAGTCATTGCTAATAGTTTTTTTTTTTTTTTTTTGCAATGCGGCAATGTATCTAATGATAGCAGCTTCTATTAAGAAAAATAAAGTGGTATTTATGAATTTTGTAAATAATGTTCTCTGGCCAGGTTTTTACCATACTCCTGATGTGTACCACTATTTAATTAGCATAATTTTTATTTCTCTCTGTCAGCCTGCTCTTGGCTTATCTCCTACAGGAAGTAGGATGGCTTTTATTTTAGGACTACATTATAATGGCTGGATTTTTACAAAAGCCTGTCAACACCACCTCAACCCCACTGTCTGTAGGAATATAAATACAGTGTAACTGACAACATAGAATGGCTGGAAGCATAATCTCCAATTTACTACTGCCTCAAATCTGTGAAAAGCCCAAAAGGGAGTTGCTGAATCTCTTCTTCAAATAAAATCCTATAAAGAGCCAAATTTACCAAAAAAACTACAATTGTATAAAGTGCTCTCGGAGATCTGGGTAAATAAGCACTGCTGTCTCTTCCCAGGGATTCTTCAGGACAATTCCAGGTCTCTGAAGAGCAACCTCTGCATTTGATACTCTGCAGTATATCCCCCAGATAAGTCCAACTGTCAGAGACCTATGTGTTTTGACTATAAACTGTTGGCTCCATGTAGCTCCATGCTTTCAGTTGATGTCATGGCGTGAACTTAAGAACATTATAAGAAGCAGCACATTATTAAATCTGTAACAAAGATGTTGTTGAAAATGTTTATGGATTTACAGAGAATCCTCGGGGGCAATTTCTCTCTGGTCTAAGGCTTTTCATGAATAATTTTCTGACTGAGGGAGGAGAGGACAGTCTTCATAGAGATAGTGGTCTTTGAACTTGGCCATTTTCTGATGGATTATTTTATAGGATCATTCCAGAAAGGGGAAATTTATAGATCTGAGAAAGTACATGATTAGTTTAGGGAATAAGTGATTTTGTGTTCTGGTAGCATTGCATGTGTGAAATAATGTTTTATGAAGTATGACTAGACACATGAGTTCTCATTTTACATAGTGTAGATTATTTTGTGTGTTCCATTAAAAGCCTGTGAGAAGCAAACTCATAATGATAGGAGATCTCTGAAAGCAATATGAAATACTCGTAAATATTGCCCTCAAGGAGTATAGTTTGTGTGCAAGATAAGTTTTCCATAGAAGTAAACGTAATTAAATATAGAAAGCCTGAAGGATGTGAGTCTTATTTGAGTCATTTTATTCATCTTAACAGAGAACTATATCCTTATATCATTTATGTTAGATTTATACACACATATTCTCTCTCTATATATATTAAACATAATGTTTTCCTGTGTTACCTTCTGAGACTATAACTCATCTCATTTATCACATGATAAAGAATACAAGGGTAGATAATTAAATCTAAAATAGAAAGTCAATAAATATTTATGTGTATTATTAATGGCTAGTGAGGCATAAGTTATTTTTCAAGATACATAATTTCTACATGTTCAAGTTTCAAAATGTGTTTATTATGAAAAAAAATATGAAAGTATTCTTTTAAATGAAATATTTATTACAATGAAACCATTACTATTTTTCAATTACAATTAAAAAGGCAATAATTATGGAATTCTTATTATTTTGTTTTTCTTAGGAATTAAGAATCATTGTTATGCAAGCACATCATTCTCATAGCCAAATTATACAGTCTTTCTAAATTTTTTGCTAGTCTGTTTACTGTCACTGGCATTTTAGCATGTCCTTCTTTGACTCATAGTGAATTATGATTAATTCACTATGAATTATAATTAAAATATTATAATTTCATCAACTCATGAGGTGATTCCTTATCAATAAAATGATAATGTCATTAATTTCTTTTCTAGATACCACAAATATCTAATTTTTTTTAAAAAAAGTTTGAGCCAAATAAGTAATTTTCAGAAATATGGAAAGTTAGCAAGGCATGATAACTTTCACTCTGTAGTTCAATATTATTATATTATCTTTCCACAGGGGAGCACATTTCAGAGTTTGATGATACTATGGTCTGAATATGTCCTCTAAAATTCATATGTCAAAACTTAATTGCCAATGCAATAGTATTGAGGTGGGGACTTTACAAAATGAAATGGGGGACTTTATAAAAGAGACTGAAGAGAGCACGTTAGATAAGCAACAAGGTGCCATCTTCTAAGTAAAGAGTAGCCAGTACTAAATACCAAATCTTCCGGCCTTTTGATCTTGGACTCCCTAGCCTCCAGACTGTAAGAAATATATATCTGTTATTTATAATTACCAGTGTCAGGTATTTTGTTACAGCAGCACAAACAGACTGAGACAATGTGCAAATGTGAACTACTAGCAGTGGGCAACCCAGGAGAATAGCAAAATCACATTTTATCTATATTTTAAATCATACAATATCTCTCCATGCGATTTCTGCTCGTTAAGTTCAAATACGGTTCATAATGAGTATGATGTAATACACACGTAGTTTCCATGAATCTTTAATTCATGTAATTGGGAATTTTACCCAGAATTTCCTTAAAATATTATCTGTTCTATATTTTGCATATGAGGACTAGTAATTACCAGTATGTTTTGTTACAAAAAGAGTACTAAGAAATATAATCCTTAGAAATATGCATACAGTTTATTTGGATAAACATTCAATAGAATATCATATAGTTTACAAATTATCAATAAATCTGTTCCCACACTTAAAAAATTACTTTTCAATGCTGAAACTTCCAATAACATGGAGGAGGTTTATTTTCTTTTGTAGTAATGCTTAATCATTCATTTCATTTTTTTCAAACTTAAAAATCAGTTTGAATTTGAAGAGAACATCTCTCAATCTAATCTTTATAAAAACAGATTAAAGCTAATTGTATGATATTTATTTCATCAAAATGGTTGGTTTTCAAAGGAAGAGGTCATTTTTAAAATGTCATTAATTTTATTTTATGTCATTAATTTTATTTTATTATACTTCTACGCAGCATTCCATAGGAGGATTCCTTACTCAAAGTGTTTGAGGCTCAAATATCCAAATGCCTGTACCACATTGCTACGTGGTGTTTTGACTGACTCAACTCCTGTGTTTCAGTTTTCTCTCTAGCAAAATGTGGGGAGTTAAATTAATGAGTTTGCATGTATGTTGGTTAGTGTGTAATAATTTTCGAAGAAAAAATATTTTAACTTGTGTACTTTAAGTTCTGTAATTATGATTAGAATAGTAATCAGATACATATAACACTACTTGAATGAATTTGTTCATGGTATTAAATGAGGAAAGACAGTCATTAAGTATGTCATTAGGTATATATATTCACATATATAATGCAAACTATACATGTTTTCTGTATATTGTTGAGGTATATAAATACTTAAGTTTGACAAACTGTTAAAAACCATTATTCTAAAAGAATTATCTCTGTTTTGGTTCAGATATTGCTTCTTTGATGCTTCTGGTTCTAGTAACCTTATTTTGTATCTCATACCTTTCTTGTCCTGCAGTTTTAGAGCTTGAATCTTATTTTATTTTATTAGGACCATTTTACCAGTGAAGAATTATTTTTTACTTGTTCCTTAAAATTTAAACTTAAAAAAAAAGCAATATGATATCAGTAAAATAGCTGAAAGAATGGTATAAATATTCTTTTTTTGGTTCATTTACTTCAATTCCATGAGTCATTCCTTCAGTTATTATTCAAGTATCAATTTCATAATTTTGGTTTACAAGCAGAAATATTTAGAAATATTTTTCCCCAAAACATATTGTCTGATTTTGTGTCAGGATGAACGAAATGTAAATAATAAAGTAAGATATTAATTTTATCAGTATTGGTCTATTATCTTTCCCTCCTTTTTACACAAAATAGAAGAAATTTTAACTTTATTATAAATTTAAATATAGCTCCGAGTTTTTTCTGATGTACAATGAGTACTGGGTAAAATTAAGTCAAAATACTTTAGGTTTATGCATGATAACGTTTTGAATAAAAGCATAAACATTTGAATCCTGGAACAGTTTAACATAGGTGATAGTAAAGAAGTAGATTTTTATAAAACTTTTACCATGAAGAAAGTGCATTAAGTTGTGCTTTCTGCTATGATAATTGTTCACAAGTCACTCTAATCTCCCACCATTAGACAAATAACAGAGAGCAGAGTTCCTGAGAATCTCTAAGTGTCAACAGATGATAATTTTATTTTCTTTTGGAAACAATCCTAAATGCAGTACCTCAGACATTTTTATTCATGGGCATGAAGTAAGAGATGAAACAAAATACAGTAAAAACAGAATCATTAAACGTATTGAAATATGAGGCTTTGGTTGGTCATTGAGAGCAAAGGCTTGTTTTTCTGTGCTTGTATCACCAGTTCAGCAGATTAGAATAAATTAAGTTAAACAAACACATCTTGCAATTCAAAAGCCTTATGGTATAAAATGCTATATTATAACAGTTACTAAACATATGCTTCTTTTCATTTTGAGCACCAAAACTACAATTTAATTATATTTTTCGTTGAAATGAGTTTTATAAACACTGTGATCTACTGTATGTTTTATGTATTTGCCTGGTGTAAATGCTTTCTACAAAAAATATATGAACATGAGTGGTATAGTTGGCATAAATCTTGTATATATATATATATATATATACACGAATATATATTTGAATATATATATACACGAATATATATTTGAATATATATATATTCAATATATATTGAATATATATATATTCAATATATTTGAATATATATATATTCAATATATATATATATTCAATATATAGAATATATATATATATTGAATATATATTTGAATATATATATATTCAATATATATTGAATATATATTGAATATATATTTGAATATATATATATTCAATATATATTGAATATATATTGAATATATATATATTCAAATATATATTGAATATATATATTCAATTCAAATACATATTCCAAACTAAATTTGCAGGAAAGCCTATTTGAAGTATGCACTTTTGGGAATGAAATTATAAAACAGAAGGTTGCATAGACTTATCGATGTTCTTCTCCATCCTGACCATTCTTACTGCTATTCTTTTCTGTATTAGATTCAAACTTGATCTCTCCACAGATGGTCTTAGGGATAGCATATTATGCTAATTAAAGATACACACTCTGAAGTTAAGTTGCCTGGGCTTAAATCCCAGATTTCCATTTACTCACTATTTGTGCTTGATCAAGTTTCTTAACCCCTTTGAGGCCTTAGGTTCCTCCTATAAATTATGATTAAAATAAGAATAGTTACCTCATGAAGCGGTTTTGAAAATTAAATGATGTAAAAAAAGCGTTTAGAACAGTATGAACACTTCTGCTAAGTCTATATGCTGATCACAAGTCTTAGTACAGTTCTAATATTACTGGTTTACATTTCTAAAAAAAATACTGGTGCTAAGATGTCCACATTTTTATTTTTAGGGAAGAGAAATCAATATCTAGCATTGGCAAATACTGAAAATAGAGAAATGAAATGTTAATAAAACAAAAATTCCTGTGATATAGATTATTTAATCTGTAATGTTTAACATTTCATATAAAAGAGCTAAATTTGATTCTTCTGATTATGAAATGATAACTATGGCTTTACAAGAGTTTTTGAAGGATGCTATAATAAACAATATTTTAAAGGAGTTACCGTGTTCAGTAATCTATGCTAATTTTTAAGAGATTTTAAAGCTAGAGATAAGGAACACGTGTATTAAAATCGAAATTAGGATAGGATAGGTTTTCTTCAGTTTGACTTTGTTTTTTAAAAAGACAAAACAGATGTATAGTATTCACTATTATATCAATCTTTAAAAAGTTATTAGTGACAGGACCAGTAAGACTAAATGAACTGATATTTAATGTTTTATGATGTACTATTTAAAGAAAAACTGTGTGAATTTTTCTTTAACCTCTAGAAGTATCTTTGCCCCACAATCCTCCCCAACCCTAACATGTGAAAGAGGTAATTTAAGTATTGAGCATTACACTTTATTGTGTGGATTACTGCAATTAACTGTGCATCTCCAAGCAACATATAGCCATTGTGCAAAACCACTGTGAACAGATGATACATTAAGAAGCACAGCTTCGCTGTGCATCCGGCCCTTGATATTGAGAAATACAGCGGTTCAGATGGAATATGCAAATAGAAAATCGACCCAAGGTCAGAGTGAGAAAGGCAAAATGACAATCTTTGCTGGTTTCAGAATGAGAAATCCATTTCTGCTGCAAAATAAAGGTTGAAGAAAATCAGTAAAAGAAAATTTAGATATTTCACTTCTCCTTTCTTCTTTAGCTGGAAAGTAATTCAGTAATTTTTGCCAGTACAGAGAAAAGGAAGAATTAGTTACACTGTATATTATCCCTCCGGGATAACTTTACACTTTTATTTCCTAACATTTTTCCCTTTATATTTACTCTAATAAGAGAAAATGGTGTGTAGTTGATAGAAAATCACTCCTGAGTTTATCCATCGTCTTTGTTCTATTTATGCTTTTTTTTTTAATTTTCAGGGTGACCTTGAGAATGTACATTTTTCTGCACTTCTCTTTCTCCATCTTAAATAAGTGTAATAATAATTGATAAATATTATGTTCTTAATTTTCCTGGAGGATTAAAAATAGTAATAATTAATAGGTTTATTTATCTAAATAAACTTTATAATTTTATTTCTCTTTTTTATTTTGTAGTCACCTTAGGTGCAGAGGAATTATCTGATCATATTTCTGTTGATGGCACATGGCACACTATCCTCATGCCATTCTTTTTCTTATCATGTTTATTATAATATCCACTTCTCTTTTTATGCACTTTTCTCATAAGTTTGATAAATGTGTTATGATGAGTATGTATCACATAAAATATGTCCCATTAAATAAGTTCTGAATGCTTAATTTATATAACTACAATACAGTTATACATTTCATATTGCTTATACATGCAACCATGTACAATATCCATTGTACATATCCAGCATAATTTACTTATTATGTTAATAATGTTGTCTCCACTCTCCTAGATCACCTGCAATTGTCTGTTACTGCAAACAATGCCAAGATAACATCCTGGTATATGTGCCCTTCTATACTTATGCAGGAATTTCTCTAGGCTTAAACCCATGAATGGAAAGGCTGGGTCAAATGTTATGTTTCATTTCATTTTGTTGCATTTTATTTAATTTCAAGATATATTTTATTTAATTTAATGCACTACATTTTCATTTAGGGAATTGATGTTTGTATTCACAAATTTAGATAATTAGTATTTTGGGGTTTTGTTTTCTTCTGATTACTATGTAGTTACTATGTATTTTGAAGTTTCCAGATATGTGGAGATTTATTCACTTTAAGCAACTTTATTTTTAAAGCACTTTTTAGTTTACAGCAAAATTAGGCAGAAGGTGCAGAGATTTCCCATATAATCCCTGCCCCTACACGTGCACAGCCACCCCACTGTGGACATCCTGTAACACAGTGGTACATTTGTTACCATCAATAAACCTACTCTGATACATCATCATTATCCAAAATACATAGTTTACACTAGCATTCATTCTTGGTGGTGCAGATTCTGTGGGTTTAGACAAACGTATGACAATTATCCACCATTTTAATATCATACAGAATAGGTTTACGCTCTAAGAGTCCTCTGTGGTCTGCCTATTCATCTCTCCTTTCCCCCTAATCTTTGACAGCCACTGATCCTTTTACTGTTTCTATAGTTTTTACTTTTCCAAAATGTCATATAATTGAAATAATATACTATGTAGTCTTTTCAGATTGGCTTCTTTCACTTGGTAATGGGCATTTAAATTTCCTCCATGTTTCTTCATGGCTTGGTGGCTCATTCATTTGTGTTTAGTGATGAATAATGTTCCCTTTCTGGATGTGCTACAGTTTATCTGTTCATCTACTGAAGAACATCCTGATTACTTCCTAGTTTGGCAGTTATGAATAAAGCAGTTATAAATATCAATGTATAGGTTTCTGAGTGCATATATATTTCAATTAATTTGGTAAAAATCAATAAGTGCAATTCCTAAACCTTATCGTAAGAGTATATTTAGTTTTTTAAGAAATTGCCAAATTGTCTTCCAAAGTGGCAGTGCCATTTTGTATTTACACCAGCATTGAATAAGAGGTCCTGTTATTCCATATCCTCATCAACATTTTGTGTTGTAGGCGTTTTGGATTTGGCCACTCTATTAAGTGTGTAGTAGTATCTCATTGTTGTTTCAATTTGCAATGCCCTAATGACATAATATTGAACATCATGTCATATGCTTACTTGCCATCTCTAGATCCTCTTTTATGAGTTATCTCCTCAGGTCTTTTGCCCATCTTTAAAATCAGGTTATTTGATTTCTTATTGTTGAGTTTTAAGAGTTATTTATATATTTTGGATAAGTCCTTTACCAGATACATCTGCAAATATTTTCTCCTGGTATATGACTTGGCTTCTCATTTTCTTGTTGTGAAGTCTTAAGCTATATTCTTCATAATTTCATTTATTTTTTCCAGAGACCATAGTAAATAATATAGTTCTTTTTCATTTTATTGATTCTTCTTTTGTAGCTTTGACTACAGTCAATTTTTGTGAATGTTTCATGGGTGCTTGAAAATATCTTTTGCTTTGAACAGGAATGTAAAGGATAGCATAGGCTCTGAAATTCAGAATAACTGATTATAAAACTATTTTGCCTTTTCTTTTGAGCAACCTTGGGAAACTTACTCAAACATTTTGTGCTTAGATTTTCCACATGAAAAATGTAGATAACAATAAAACACTCCATCAGTTATTTTTTATTATTATTTCAAAAGCTTTTTGGGAAACAGGTGGTGTTTGGTTACATGAATAACTTATTTAGTGGTGATTTCTAAGATTTGAACTGATAATTAAATGAATTAATGTATGTTAGGTACTTACCCAGTGCCTGAGAAAAAGTGTTAGATACTTACAATTATTATTTGTTAGTTTGAAGTAATTGTGAAATTCATTACATTTCTATACCTTTTATGTTTTTTCTACTGGACTATCAGTTTCTGATAATGATATATTAAATGCCCTTAATAATTATAGATTAGTTGTTCTATTTATATTAATATAGTCTGACCCTATATTATTAGATGTATATCAAGCTGAAAATATTATATTAATCAATTTTTATTTTACTAGGATATAACATGTCACATTGTCAAGACACTTGGATAGTTTTTGCTTGTTTTCTTTTGCATTAAATAATTATTTGATTAGAAAATTAACATCTAGAATTTCTTTTTATTTATGATCCCATTCCTTTTTGTTGTTGTTGATTTAAGCCTCCTTCTGATTTAAATGTTGCTTATGTTCACAACATTAATCTTATTTTTTCCAGTTAGAAAATCTGTAATTGTAATTGGTTTAACCATTTACATTTATTGTAGTAACTAATATATTAGGATAGTTTCTGCCATCTTATTATCTATTTATTCACATTTCTTGTCTTCCATTTGACATTTTACATTTACTTCTGCTAATTTAAAGAGTTACATAATCCATTCATATTCTTTTAATTATTACCCCTAATATAATAGGACAGGTATTTATTTGTATCTTTTCACTTATTCCTTATGTTTATCAATAACTTTAATTTCTCCTTGCATAAAAATTGTAGTTTCACATACTTATCTGCCCTATTCTCCTTTTTTCTGTACCTATACTTCTGCTTTTAACATGTTATTTTTTCCTAGAATTATTTTTACCTTTTATCTTTCATCATTTGTGTTAGATAACAACATCAACAAGAAACTACTAACTAAATTATATATTAGTAAGAGAACTCAATTTGGGCATGTCATAAAAGAAACATGAAATGAAAAATTAAAACATGAGAATTTCCCACTTTTATGTAGCCAAGTAAACCCATTACTTACATATATTCAAAATAAATAATAACTGGTTCTTAAGTAAGCACAATTGACAGCATCACTTATCATACACAGTTCATCTTAGATTTACCTGGGTTGTCCATTTGTGTTAGTTAATTGGCTTTAGACAAAGGAAAAATAAAACTTACTAATGATAAAAGATTGTATTGCGACTTAGAACAAGGTGTCCACCAAAGTTAGGCTCCTGTCCTCCCACAGAAACTGGTATACAGGAGTGCTAACTCCTTTGATGTTTACAGTTCAAGGAGAGGACTGCCAGGGCTTTGAGGAAAGCATTCCTGGAACATGAAGTTGACAAAAGGACTACCTAGTTTTAAAAAGATTTCTTATTAAAGAGAGGAGAAAGTACTTACAAGTTTCCTAAAGTAAATACTCTGAGAAAAGGGAAGGACAACTCTCTTCCTTTGTTTTATCAGGAAGAATTAAGCCTCTCATTTTTAATTATTATTTATCCTTACAATACATAGTGTAGAGCATGCTCATTTCATCCTATATTAAGTGAAAAAAATTTGAAAATTAATGAAATTAAATCAAACATATTCTTGGCATATAATAATAATATCATCAACAACAAGAAGCAGCAGCAGCATTTCTTGTTTTCCAAGCCTCAGGTATTTTAACTCATTTAATCACACCACAATCCTATGAAGTACTCCATTACCACCCCCTGGTGGAGTTGATGAAGTTGAAGCACTAAAAGACCTCTTCTAACTGCAGCAGGTCTCATTTGCCAATTATTCATCATTAAGCCATCCTTAATTATTGCCATCACAGACCTAATGTGAATCTGTTTCATCATTGTTAAAGAATGAAATAATTTCTCAGTTTTATTTTTCTTTTTTGTTTGTGGTAAAATGAATATAGAAAACATATCTACTCTTGTTTTTCACTGACACACAAGTGCTCCAAACAGTGCCTGACTTGTAGTAGGAGTTTAATAAGTATTTGAGAAATGAATGAGATGACTTAATGTAGTCTTAACATATATTCAAATTGCAGACCGTCATTGGCCATGCTTTTAAAATCAAAATATATTTATAGCCTGCATTTTCATTTAGGTGTTCTGAAATAAATTATAATATTTTGAATTAATATGCTATTGAATTCCACTAAAAAAAATTTTACTTTTAAATCTTTGTTTGTGGGAAACTTGTATAAGAAAGATTTGCAGCCAGGCACGGTGGCTCACGCCTGTAATCCCAGCACTTTGGGAGGCCGAGGCGGGCGGATCACGAGGTCAGGAGATCGAGACCATCCTGGCTAACATGGTGAAACCCCGTCTCTATTAAAAATAGAAAAAATAAGCTGGGCGTGGTGGCGGGCGCCTGTGGTCCCAGCTACTCGGGAGGCTGAGGCAGGAGAATGGAGTGAACCCGGGAGGCGGAGCTTGCAGTGAGCCAAGATGGTGCCACTGCAGTCCAACCTGGGAGAAAGAGCGATACTCCATCTCAAAAAAAAAAAAAAGAAAAAAAGAAAGATTTCCATATTTTCAATGGCTATATGTGCTGTAGAAAGGGAAATTTGAGAAAATATTAGAAATAAAGTAAATTATTGAACTGTGGTTCAATCTGTGTATTTTTAGAATAAATGTGAGAAATGTCAGTGAAGAAAATACTGTTAATTTTGATGAATTTAAAGCATGGTAAATCACTGGCTTGTGGATATGTGTTCCTGTCTGGGGTCTTTTGGAAATTATTTGTTTTGAGCTAAAAAATGTTAAAAGGAGCAGTATCTAAACTTTTACTCATAAGCCCGGAACACAAAGGCTCTGGGGAATCAATCAAACATGTTTACTCTTAAAATATTATTAAGATTAATATGTGCGTAAAAAAACTTTTAATAAAGTTTACAATTTAGACCAGAACTTGAGAATAATTATATCCAGATGACTTAAAAGTCACAGAAAAGGTTGCTATAACATAAAGTTCAGTAGTTTTTCTCTAGCTCCTTAGTGGTTAAATATGGAGACATGATTATATTAACTATTTTCAAAAGTTTCTTGAATCCTTGTCATTGGCGGGGTATAATGGAGTTTAATAAGTACCACTAAATTGCATGAACACATTGGATTTATCTCAGAGAGGATTCTTATATTCTTTTATTACTGTCTACTCTGCATACATAAGTCCTTTTTATTTACTTATCAATAGAAATTAAATCACATTGAAGTGTTGGATTATAAATGCACAGGATCACAACTGAAGGACTACATGTCACAGAAAAATTGTAAGTATGGTTTCAAGAAATATGAAAGTACAACAGACACAATACTGTATGGCAGATTACTATTAAACTTTTAGCCTAGGATGATACATGATTTATTTTTGGGAAAAGGGTATACATTTGAGAGTCAAAAGAATTGTTGTATCTAAGTGAAACTTTATTAACTATGCTGTAAAATGTGGAAGCACCAGGTACTAATTGTTTTCCCTAATCTGATTTTTTTCCACCTATTGACCATTTTCCAAAAAATTCTAAAATTTCCTAAGTTGACAGAATGAAATGAAAGCATAATAGGAGGTATAGGACTTATCCCAGACAAGATTAGTCTTATGTTGCCTACAAACAACATTTGAGTGTCTTAATTGTTATGCTGGCCTTTAATTCATAAGAAACAGAAAGCACTTGTAGATGAACAATATTATAGAAATTTCATTATATCATCACATATCACATATGGTTTTATTAAAATAATACTAGATAATAATTTTATTGTACTTTATCATTGACATCATTAAGGATAAATTGCAAAACTATCATAATTTTTAAATTTGACACATTTTTATTTCAAAAGTCAGATTCTTATGTTTCTTATTACCTATTTTAATAGTTATTTAGCCAATAGACCATTATGAATACAACCAAACAAAACATGACTAAATATGAATATATTTTAAAATGCTAACAGTCAAAATAATTATGGTGAGAAGGAGTGTTCACTTGAGTGATAAACCAAGTGAATAAATTACTAGCATGCCCATCTGATTTTTGACATTTATTTCCTTTGTTCACTTTGTCTTTTTACCTCTCAAATTATTTTATTCTTTAAAAAAATTATTTTAAGTTCCTGGGTACATGTGCAGGATGTACAGGTTTGCTATATGGGTAAACATGTGCCATGGTGATTTGCTGCACCTATCAACCCATCACCTATGTATTAAGCCCTGCATGCATTAGCTATTTATCCTGATGCTCTCCCTTCCCCTACCCCACTGACAGGCCCCAGTGTGTGGTGTTCCCTTCCCTGTGTCCATGTGCTCTCATCGTTCAGCTTCTCCCACTTTTAAGTGAGAACATACAGTGTTTGGTTTTCTGTTCCTCTTGTTTGCTGAGGATAACGACTTCCAGCTCTATCCACATCCCTGCAAAGGAAATGATCTCATTGCTTTTTATGGCTGCATAGTATTCATGGTGTATATGTACCACATTTTCTTTAATCAGTCTATCATCTATTGATGGGCATTTAGGTTGATTCCATGTCTTTGCTAATGTGAATAGTGCTGCAATGAACATATGCGTGCATGTATCTGTATAATAGAATGAATTATATTCCTTTGGGTATATACCCAGTAATGGGATTGCTAGGTCAAATGATATTTCTGGTTCTAGTTCTTTGAGGAATTACCACACTATCTTTCAAAATGGATGAACTAATTTACATTCCCACTGACAGTGTAAAAACATTCCTATTTCTCCACAGCCTTGCCAACATTTGTTGTTTCATAACTTTTTAGTAATCACCATTCTGACTGACATGAGATGATATCTCATTCTCGTTTTGATTTGCAGTTATCTAATGATCAGTGATGCTGAGCTTATTTTCATGTTTGTTGGTGCATGAATGTGTTCTTTTGAGAAGTGTCTCTTCATGTCCTTTGCTCACTTTTTAATGGGGTTATTTGTTTTGTTTCTTGTAAATTTAAGTTCTGTATAGATTCTAGATATTAGAACTTTGTCAGATGGATAGATTGCAGAAAGTTTCTCCCATTCTGTGGGTTGTCTGTTCACTCTGATGATAGTTCCTTTTGCTGTGCAGAAGCTCTTTAATTAGATCCCATTTGTCAATTTTTGCTTTTGTTGCAATTGCTTTTGATGTTTTTGTCATGAAATCTTTGCCCATGCCTATGTCCTGAATGGTATTGCCTAGATTTTCTTCTAGGGTTTTATAGCTTTGGGTTTTACACTTAAGTCTTTAATTCATCTTGAGTTAATTTTTGTATAAGGTGTAAGGAAGGGGTCCAGTTTCAGTTTTCTGCATATGGCTAGCCAGTTTTCCTAGCACCATTTATTAAATGGGAATTCTTTCCTCATTGTTTGTTTTTGTCAGGTTTGTCAAAGATCAGATGGTTGTAGATGTGCCATCTTATTCCTGAGATCTCTGTTCTGTTCCATTGGTCTATGTGTCTGTTTTTGTACCAGTACCATGTTGTTTTGGCTACCGTAGCCTTGTATTCTAGTTTGAAGTCAGGTAGCATGATGACTCCAGCTTTGTTTTTTTGTTTGTTTGTTTTTTGCTTAGGATTGTTTTGGCTATATGGGCTATTTTTTGGTTCCATATGAAATTTAAAGGAGTTTTTTTTTCTAATTATGTGAAGAATGTCAATGGCAGTTTGAAGGAAATAGCATTTAATCTATAAATTAGCCATTTTTATGATGTTGATTCTTCCTATCCATGAGCATGGAATCTTTTCCCATTTGTTTAAATTCTTATTCTTATCAACTTTAGTGGAAATTAAAATAGGAATAATGTGCTTTTCATAACATTAAAATATTCTTTATTGAGAAGTAATTAACATATAGTAAACTTCATTTTTTAAAATTACAATTAAGTTGTTTTCAGTATGTGCATAGAGTTGAGCAACCATTACCATTGCCTAATTTATAATATATCAGTACTCCTTTGCTAATCCTGTTAGCAGTCGGTCTCCCAAACCCTGGCGAATTTACTTTCTGTCTCAATGAATTTGCCTATTTTGGACGTTCATGTATATGAAAACATAGAGTCTGTAGTTTTTGTG
Source organism: Homo sapiens (assembly GCF_000001405.40). Lineage (NCBI taxonomy): Eukaryota > Metazoa > Chordata > Mammalia > Primates > Hominidae > Homo > Homo sapiens. The sequence continues at coordinate 91,506,910 of NC_000004.12, forward strand.
ACCATCACTTAGCATATTATTTTTATGGTTCATTCATATTGTAGCATGTATCAATGCCTCATTTCTTATAATTGATAATAAAAATCAATTGTATGGATATAACATTTTATGTATCATTACTCAGTTGATGAAAATATGAATTATTTTCACTTTTTACTATTATGAACGAAACTTTTAATTACATTTATGTACACATTTTTGTGTGGATATATGTCTTCTTATGTCTTGGCTATATGACAGTAGAAATCCATGATCACATGGTAACTTTATATTTAACATTCTGATGAACTGCCAAGCTGTTTTCCAAGGTGACTGCCACATTTTAAAATCCCAACAGCAACATATGAGGATTTCAATTTCTCCACATCATATCCAACATTTGTTGTTGTCTGGTTTCTCTAGTTTAGCCATTCTAGTGGGTGTGAAGTGGTATCTCATTGTGATTTTGATTTTCATTTCTTCAATTCATGATGTTGGACATCTTTCATATGCTTTTGACCATTTGCATATCTTTTATTTATTTATTTATTTATTTTTTAGACAGAGTATCGCTCTGTTGCCCTGGCTGGAGTGCAGTGACGCGATCTCGGCTCACTGCAAGCTCTGCCTCTGGGGTTCACGCCATTCTCCTGCCTCTACGTATCATTTTTGAGGAATCATCTATTCACATCTTTTGCCCATCTTTTTAAATTAGGTTGTCTTTTTTTTTGTTAAGTGGTGGGTGTACTTAGTATATTCTGAATACACGTCCTTTACATATATATAACTTAATTTTTTTTCTCTCATTCTGAAGGTAGTCACACTTTCTTGATGCTGTCCTTAGAAGCAATTTAAAAAAATTTTAATAAACTTCAATTTATTTTCTTCTTTTATCAAGGATGCTTTTGGTGTCTTATCTAAGACATCAAATACTTCAAGATTATGAAGGCATTCTTTTATTGTGTTTTCCAATTTCATTTTTAGCTTATTCATTGCTACTGTATAGAGATAAAATTAATTTTGTATATTCATCTTGTATCCCACAACATATCTGAGCTGGTTTATTAGTTCTAATAAGCTCTTCATCAATTTCTTAGGATTTTCTATATATATATATATATATGAAATTATGTCATCTCTCAATAAAGAAAGTTTTACTATTTTCTTTACATCTGTGCCTTTTTTTTTCTTGCCCAAGTTTTCTGTGTAGAAACTCCAGTATGATATTGGATAGAAGTGTCTAGGACAGAGATCCTTTTTTTTTTTTTTCTGGGTTTTTTTTTTTTTTTTTCCTGATCTTGGAAGAAGAATTTAGTCTTTTACCATTAAGCATGTTGTTAACTGGGTTTTTTCATTGATCTTCACATATGAAATTTGAAGAAGTTCCTTTCATTTCTACCTTCTTGAGTACACCCAATATAAAAACATGGTGGCGCATTTATCCAATATCTTATAGCATCTATTGAGATGATCATGTGGTTTACCTCCTTTCATCCATTAATATGGTATTACATGAATGGAATTTTGTATTTTAGAAAATTTTTACATCCCTAAGGGAAATCCCACCTGTTCCTGATGTGTAATTGTTTCTATATGCTGCTGGATTTGATTTGCTAATACTTTGATGAAGGTGTTTGCATCTGAATCCAATAAAAGTTACTGGTCTGTAGTTTTTTTTTTTTTTTCACATGAAGTCTTTGGTTTAGGTATCAGTGAAATATTGACCATATAGAATCATTTTTGAAGGATTTATTCCTATTCTATTTTTTGAAAGAGTTTATGAAAAATTGCTATTATTTCTTCTTAGAATATTTCAATGAATTCACCAGTGAAGGCTTTTCATGGGAGTTTTTACTATTATTATTATTTAATTCAGTTTCTTCACTTTTTTAGGTCTGTACAGATTTTCTTGTTCTTCATTCGGTTTTGGTAATTTGTATCTTTTGGGGAGTTTGTCCATTTTAGCTATATTACCTAATATTGGTATATGGTGATTCATAATATTTCCCCTTGATCCCTTTGATCAATTTTATTTCTGTAAGATTTATTGTCATGCCCCCTTTTTCACTTATGATTTTAGTAATTTGTGTGTTCTCTCTTTCTAGTCATTCTAGCTAAAAGTTAGTCAATTTTATTAATCTTTTCAAAAAACAAATTTCGGATTTGCTTATTTTTACTGTTGCTTTTCTCTTTCTATTTTATTTATTTCCTCTGTAGTTTTCATTATTTTCTTCCTTCTGCTTGCTTTGGGTTTAGTTTTATGTTCTTTTTTTTAGCTTCTTTATGTGAATTGTTATGTATTGATGCAAATATATTTTCCTCTTTAGGATAGACATTTACAGCTGCAGATATCTCTGTAAACACTGTTTCAGCTGTAACAAATCCATTTTGGTTCATTGTATTTTCATTTAGATTAATCTCAAACTGCCTCGCATATAATCTCTTCCACCAATTGGTTATTTATAACTGTGTTATTTAATTTCCACGCATTTGTAAATTCCTCAATTTTTCTCTTATTACATTCTAATTTAACTTTGTTCTGCTTGAAGAATATATTTTGTATGGCTTTAATCATTTAAATTTATTGAGGTTCATTTTATGGCCTAACACATGGTATATTCTGGAGAACCCTTTGGAACTTGAGGATAATATATCTACTATTGCTGAGTGGAGTGTTATATAGATTTCTGTTGAATGTAGTTTAAATGTAGTGTTCACATCTTCCATGTGTTCACCTTCTGCCTAGTTGTTCTATCCTTTATTGAAAGTGAAACCTCCAGCTATTTCTAATAACATTTTCTGTTTTTCCCTTAAATTCTTTCAGTTTTTTTGTCTAATATTAACATAATCATTCCAGCTTTTTTGGTTGTTTCTGTTGGTCAGGATTCTCTAGAGAAACATAATTAATAGAATATAGATGATAGATATAGATACAGATGAAGATATATAGATTTTTTTTACATAATTTCAACTTTTATTTTAGATTCAAGTGGTACATGTGCAGTTTGTTCCATTAGGTACATTGTGTGATGCTGAAGTTTGGGGTACGATTGATCCTGTCACCGAGGTACTAAGCATAGTACCCAGTTGTTAGTTTTTCAACCCATTGCCCCCTCTCTCCACCCTCCCATCCCATATAGCCTTGTGTCTATTGTTGAATCTTCTTATGCCCGTGAGTACCCATTGTTTAGCTCCCACTTATAAGTGAAAACATGCAGTATTTGGTTTTCTGTTCCTGCATTATTTCACTTGGGACAATGGCCCCCAGCTGCATCCATGTTGCTGCAAAGGATACAATTTTGATTTTTGTGGCTATGTAGTATTCCATGGTGTATATGTGTTACATTTTATTTTCCAATCCACTGCCGATGGGCCCTTAGCTCGATTCCCTATCTTTGCTATTGTGAATAGTGTTGTCATAAACATATGAGTGTAGGTGTCTTTTTGGTTGAATGATTTATTTTATTTTGATTGTTGGGTTGAGTGGCAGTTCTATTTTTAGTTCTTTGAGAAATCTTCAAATTGCTTTCCACGGTGGCCGAACTAACTTAAATTCTCACCAGTATAAAGGCATTCATTTTTCTCCACAGCCTTACCAACAGCTGTTATTTTTTGACTTTTTAATAATAACCATTCTGACTGACAAAAGATGGTGTTTTATTGTGGTTTTTATTTGCATTCTCTGATGACGAGTGATGTTGAGAATTTTCCACGTTTGTTGGCCATTTGTATGTCTACTGTTGAGAAGTGTCTGTCCATGTCATTTGTTCACTTTTTAATAGGGTTTGTTTTTACTTATTGATTTCTTTAAGTTCCTTATAGATCTGGATATCATACCTTTTTTGGATACATCGTTTGCAAATATTTTCTCCCATTCTATAGGTTGTATACTCTGTACTTTTTGCTATGCAAAAGCTCTTCAGTTTAATTAGGTCCCACAGGTCAATTTTTGTTTTTCTTGTAAATGCTTTAGAACAATTGCTTTTGAGCAACTTATTCATGATTTGTTTTCCAAGGCCAATTTCCAGAATGGTGTGTTCTAGGTTTTCTTCTAGGATTTTCATAGTTTGAGGTCTTATATTTAAGTCTTTAATCCATCTTAAGCTAATTTTTGTATATGGCGATAAAAAAGGGATCCAGCCTCTTTCTTCTGCATATGGTTGGTCAGTTACTGCAGCAATATTTATTGAATAGGGAGCCTTTCCACTTTGCTTAATTTTTTTTTTATTTTGTTGAAGCGCAGTTGGTATGTGTGGCTTTATTTCTAGTTTCTCTATTCTGTTTCATTGGTTGATGTCTCTGTTTCAGTACTAGTACCATGCTGTTTTGTTATTGTAGCTTTATAGTATAGTCTAAAGTTGAGTAATATGATGCCTCTGGCCTTCTTATTTTTCTTAGACTTGCCTTGGCTATTTTGGCTCTTTTGTTGTTCTATGTGAATTTTAGAATAGCTCATTCTAGTTCTGTGATAAATGACATTCATAGCTTGACAGGAATAGTGTTGAATAGGTAGATTGCTCTGGGTAGTATGGCCATTTTAATGACAATGCTTCCAGGCCATAGTAATGCAATATTTTTTCCCATTTGTTTGTGTCATGTATAACAGGGGGTCCCTAAACCCTGGGCCATGGACTGGTACCACACAGCAGGAGGTGAGCAAGGGAAGATTCATCTGTTTTTACAGCCACTACGCATCACTCATATTACTGCCTGAGCTCCACCTCCTGTCAGATCAATGGTGGCATTAGATTCTTTTGGGAACATGAACCCTGTTGTGAACTGCACATGTGAGGAATCTAGGTTGCATGCTCCTTATGAGAATCTAATGCCTGATGATCTGTCACTGTCTCCTATCACTCCCAGATGGGACCTCCTAGTTGCAGGAAAACAAGCTCAGGACTCCCACTGATTCTACATTATGGTGAGTTGTATAATTATTTTATTATATATTGCAAAGTAATATATAATAGAAATAAAGTACACAATAAATGTAATGCGCTTGAATCATCCCAAAACTCTCCTTCCCCAGTGGTCTGTGGAAAAATTGTCTGCCGTGAAACCAGTACCTGGTGTGAAAAAGGTTGGGGATTACTGATCTATAATTACTTTTGGCAGTATTTTGTAGTTATCCTTGTAGAGATCTGTGATGGTTAATATTGAGTTAACTATCTGCGATGGTTCACACTTTTGGTGATGTTTTGTAGTTCTCCTTGTAGAGATCTGTGATGGTTGATACTGTCAACTTGATTGGATTGAAGGACGCAATGTACCGTTTTTGGGTGTGTCTATTAGGGTGTTGCCAAAGAAGATTAACATTTGAATCAGCGCACTGGGAGACACAGACCCACCCTCAATCTGGATGGGTACCATCTAATCAACTGCCAGTGTGATTAGAATAAAGCAGGCAGAAGTTGGAAGGACTTGATTTGCTGAGTCTTCCAGCCTTCTTCTTTCTCCCATCCTGGATGCTTTCTATCCTGGGACATCAGACTCCAAGTTCTTCAGCTTTTGGACTCTTGGACTTACACCAGTGGTTTGCCAAGGGCTCTCAGGCCTTTGGCCACAGACTGAAGGCTGCACTGTCGGCTTCCCTACTTTTGAGGTTTTGGGACTCGGACTGATCCACCACTGGCTTTCTTGCCCTCAACTTGAAGACAGCCTATTGTGAGCCTTTACCTTGTGATCATATGAGTCAATTAACTTGACAAACTTAATAAACTCCCTTTTATATATACATCTATCCTATTAGTTCTGTCCCTCTAGGGAACACTGACTAATACAAGATCTTTCACCTCCTTGATTAGATGTATTCCTAGGTATTTTATTTTTATGGCTATTGTAAATAGGATTGTATTCTTGATTTTGCTCTTAGCTTGAATGTTATTGATGTATAGATATACTACCTATTTTTGTACATTGATTTTATATTCTGAAACTTTACTGAAGTTGTTTATCAATTCCAGGAGCCTTTTGGTGGAGTCTTTGGGAGTGTTCTAGGTATAGAATCATATCTTGAATGAAGAGAGACAGTTTGACTTCTTCTTTTCTTATTTGGATACCTTTTATTTTTTTTATCTTGCCTGATTTTTCTGGCAAGGATTTCCAGTATTGTGTTAAATAGGAGTGGTGAGAGTGGGCATCCTTGTTTTGTTCCAGTTCTCAAGGGAAATGCTACCAGCTTATGCCCATTAAATATACTGGCTGTGCATTTGTCACAGATGGCTCTTATTATTAATATTTTGAGGTATGTTCTTTCAATGCCTAGTTTCTTTAGGGTTTTTATCATGGAGGGATTTTGGATTTTAATGAGAGCTTTTTATGCATCTATGGAGATGATAATTTTTAATTTTAGTTTTTAATTCTGCTTATATGGTGAATCACAATTTTTTATTTGCATCCCAACCTTATATTCCAGGAATGAAGCCATGTTATCATGGTGAATTAACTTTTTGACATGCTACTGGATTTGGTTTGCTAGTATATTGTTGAGAATTTTTACATCTGTGTTCAGCAGGGATATTAGCCTGTGGTTTTCCTTTTCCCATGAGTCTTTGCCAGGTTTTGATATCATAGTGATGCTGGCTTTGTAGAATGAGTTAGGGAGAAGCCCCTCCTCATCAGTTTTTTTGAATAGTTTCAGTAGGATCAGTAACAGCTCTTATTTGGACTTCTGGTAGAATTCAGCTGTGAATCCATCTGGTCCAGGGCTTTTTTTGGTTGGTAGGTTTTTTATCACTGATTCAGTTTTGGAACATGATATTGGTGTATTCAGGGTTTCAATTTCTTTCTGATTCAATTTTGTGAGATAGTGTGTTTCCAGGAATTTATTCATTTCCTCCAGATTTTCTAGTTTGTACACAGAGAAGTGTTCCTAATAGTCTCTGAAGATCTTTTGTATTTCTGTGGGATTGTTTGTAATGTTACCATTTTTTTTTATTGTGCTTATTTTTATCTTCTCTCCCTTTTACTTCAAGTAGCTAGCAGTCTATCAATGTTGTTTATCCTCTCAAATGATAAATTTTTGGTTTCATTGATTCTTTTTATGGATTTTTGGGTCTCAATTTCATTCAATTCTGCTCTGATTTCAGTTATTTATTTTCTTCTGCTGGCTTTGTGGTTAGTTTGTTCTTGTTTTTCCATTTCCTCTATACGTGTTGTTAGATTGTTAATTTGAGATCTTTTTGACTTTTTAATTAGGCATTTAGTGCTATAAACTTTCCTGTCAACACTACTTTTGCTGCATCCCCTAGATTTTGGTATGTTGTATCTCTGTTTTCACTTATTTCAAATAATTTTTTTATTTCTGCCTTAATTTTATTGTTAACCCAAAAGTAATTCAGAAGCAAGTTGTTTAATTTCTATGTACTTGTGTGGTTTTGGGAAATTTTCTGGGTATTGATTTCTATTTTAATTCCGCTGCAATCCCAGAATATGGTTGGTATGATTTTGATTTTTTGCTTTATTGAGACTTGCTCTATGGTTATGTATGTGGTTGATGTTGGAGTATGTTCTATGTGCAGATGAGAAGAATGAATATTCTGTGATTGATATGAGAAGTATTCTATAGATGTCTGTTAGGTTGATCAAGTGGCATATTTAAGTGCATAATTTCTTTGTTAGTTTCTTGCCTTGATGATCTGTCTAATGCTGTCAGTGGGGTTTTTAATTCCCCGATTATTGTTGTCCAGGTAAGCCTTTTTATACATCTAGGAGTATTTGTTTTATGAATCTGGGTTCAAAAATAGATTTTTATTTGGATTAGCTTATGTGATTATGGAGACTGACAAGTTCCACAATGTGCAGGGTGAGTCAGCAAGCTAGGCACCATGGAGCACCAATGGTTTAGTTCCAGTCAAAGTCTGAAAACCTGAGAACCATGAGAGCTGATGGCATAGTTCCAGTCTGAAAGACAGCAGGCTCACAATACAGGACGACAAAGTCTCTCAGTTAAAAGGCAATTAAGCAGGAAGAATTCTCTTTTAAGCAGAGGAGAAATATCCTTTTTATTTTTTGTTTTTCAGGTTTTCAACTTAATAGTTGGATGATGCCTGCCTACATTAGGAAGAACAAACTGCTTAACTTATTCTACTGATTTACAGGTTAAGCTTATCAAAAAACACCCTCACAAAAACACCCGGAATGATGTTTTACCACATATTGAGTACTATGTGACCCAGTTACATTGTCAAATATATTTAACTATCACATATGGTATTATGGTATTATTTTTCACCCTATTATTTTAAAACTGTTTGTATCTTTGAATCTAAGGGGGATTTCTTATAGTTAACATATAGTTGGATTTTGCTTTTTTTTCTTGTAACTTTTATCTTAGGCTCAGGGGTACATGTGCAGGTTTGTTAATATAGGTAAAGTCAAGTCATGGGGGATTGGTGTACAGACTGTCTCATCACGCAGGTATGAGGCATAGTACCTTGTAGGTATTTTTTCTGATCCTTTCTCACCTCCTAACCTCCATCCTCAAGTAGATCCCAGTGTCTGTCATTTCCTTCTAAGTGTCCATGTGTTCTTGTTATTTAGCTCCCACTTATAAGGACAACAGGCAGTATTTGGTTCTGTTCCTGCATTAGTTTACTTAAGATAATGGCTTCCACCTCCATCCATGTTGCTGCAAAGTACATAATCTTGTTCTTTTTATGGCTGCATAATATTCCATGGTGTATATATACCACATTTTCTTTATCTAGTCTACCACTGATGGTCATTTAGGTTGATTCCATGTCTTTGCTATTGTGAACATGCTGCAGTAAATATATACACACATGTGTCTTTTTGGTAGAATGATGATATTCTTTTGGATATATACCCACTAATGGGATTGTTGGGTTGAAGGGTAATTCTCTTTTTAGTTCTTTGAGGAATCACCACATTGCCTTCCATGCTGGTTGAACTAATTTACTCTCCTACCAGCAGTGATAAGCATTCCTTTTTCTCTGCAATCTTGCCAGCATCTCTTTTTTTTTTTTTTTTTTGACTTCTTAATAATAGCCATTCTAACTCATTTGAGAAGGTATCTCATTGTCGTTTTATTGCATTTCTCAAATGATTAGTGATGTTGAGCATTTTTTTTACATGCTTGTTGGCTTCATGTATGTCTTCTTTTAAAAAGTGTCGTTCAAGTATTTGTCCCACTTTTTAATGGGGTTGTATGTTTTTTGCTTGTAAATTTATATATATTCCATATAGATTCTGGCTATTATATGTAGTTAGAAGCATAGTTTGTAAATATTTTTTCCCTTTCTGTAAGTTGTCTGTTTACTCAGTTGACAGTTTCTTTTGCTGTGCAGAAGCTCTTAAGTTTAATTAGATCTCATTTGTCAATTTTTGCCTTTGTTGCAATTGCTTTTGGCATCTTTGTCATGAAATCATTGCCAGTTTCTATATCCAGATGGTATTTCCTAGGTTATTTTCCAGAGTTTTTATAGGTTTAGGTTTTACATTCAAGTTCTTAATTCATCTTGAGTTGATTTTTGTATACGGTTCAAGGAGGCATCTGGTTTCAATCTTCTGCATATGGCTAGACAGCTATCCCAGCACCATTTATTGAATAGGAATACCTTTCTCCATTGCTTGTTTTTGTCAGTTTTGTCAAAGATTAGATGGTTGTAAGTGTGCAGCCTTATTTCAGGGTTTTTGATTCTGTTCCATTGGTCTATATGTCTGTTTTTTGTATTGGTACTATACTGTTTTGGTTACTGTAGCCTTGTAGTATATTTTGAAGTGAGCTAGTATTATGCTTCCAGCTTTGTTCTTTTTGCTTAGGACGTCTTGTTTCTTCGGGTTCTTTTTCTTCCAAATGAATTTTAAAATAGTTTTTTCTAGTTCTGTGAAGAATGCCATTGGTAGTTTGATAAGTGTAGCATTGAATCTGTAAATTTTGGGGAGAAGTATGGCCATTTTACAATATTGATTCTTCCTATTTATGAGCATGGAGTGTTTTCCCATTTGTTTGTGTCATCTCTGATTTCTCGGAAGAGTATTTTGTAATTCTCATTGCAGAGATTTTTCATTTCCCTATGTAGCTGTATTCCTAGGTATTCTTTTTGTGGCAGTTATAAATGGCATTGCCCTCCTTGTTTGGCTCTTGGCTTGCAGGTTGTTGATATATTGGAATGGTACTGATTTTTGTACATTGATTTCTTATCCTGAAACTTTGCTGAAGTTGTTTATCAGTTCAAGGAACTTTTGGTCAGACAATATGGAGTTTCAAGTTATAGAATCCTGTTGTTGAAAAATGAGATAGTTTGACTTCTTCTTTTCCTATTTGGATGCCTTTTATTTCTTTTTCTTGCCTGATTGCTCTGGCTAGAAATTCCATACCATGTTTATAGGAGTAGTGAGAGAGGGCATCTTTGTGTTGTGCAAGTTTTCAAAAAGAATGCTTCCAGCTATTGCCCCTTCCATATGATGTTGGGTGGGGGTTTTAAAAGATAACTCTTTATTTTAAAGTATGTTCCTTCAATGCCTAGTCATTTGAGAGTTTTTAACATGAAGGATGTTGAATTTTATTGAAAACTTTTTCTGCATCTATTTAGATAATCATGTGTATTTTGTCTTTAGTCAGTTTGGTTCATTTGTACACTCAGCTGTTTTGTCTATCAGCTCCTGTATTGTTTTCTTATAATCCACAACTTCTTTGGATTGTGTTTCAATATTCACCTGAATCTCGATGATCTTCATTCCTGTCCATATTCTTAATTCTACGTCTGTCATTTCAGGAACCTCAGCCCATTTAAGAATCATTTCTGGGAAACTAGTGCATTCATTTGGAAGAAAGAATATACTCTGCCATTTGAGTTACCAGAGTTCTTACGCTGGTTCTTTCAGTTCTTTCTCGTGTGTGTGTGTGTGTGTGTGTGTGTGTGTGTGTGTGTGTTTAACTTTGATATAAATTGAGTACAGTCAGTAAACTTATATTCTGGATGTTTTCAGAGGGCTGATGCTTTGTGCAAGACCTTTATTTGTAGCTGAATTTTTGCTTTTGGTTTCACAGGGGGGGTATGATAGCAAAACATTTTTGATGTTGAAGTTTGGGATGTGAACTAGTAGGTGGTGCTTAAGCATAATGATCAGTAGGTAGTCTCTTCCTCAGTCATGTAGCTCCTCTGTATTTCCTCATGTTTGCAGCCATGCTCCCTCTGAGGGCTCTGAAATTGTGGACTCCTCTTTCTCTTGAGTGCTGGCTGCAGATCTTGGCTTGGCACTCCCGGGCTGCATGCAGCAGCTCTGGGGTGATCTTAGTCTTTATGTTTCCTCCCCAGCTTGGTAGCAGCAAAGGAAGCGACCTTAGCAGTGGTTGTGTTCAAGAGATTTTCACTTGTCTCTTGGGGCTCTACCCCAGAGATATGTGGAGCGGCAATCAATTAGTGCTATTGGCTCATGATGGAGCAGCCGCTCTGTGGGCCCAAGCTGGGGAGGAGGTGTCTGGTTATGAGCAGGGGGTTTGGGTGGGACCCATGGGAGACAGATTGGCCTTCTCTCCTTAGGGCAACTGCAGCTTTCTGGAGGTGTGGATAAATACTCAGTATTTTCACTCCTTCTATAGTCCAAGGGAAGCTAGGGAAGTACCACTGCAAAGGTGTTTTTGGTTGCCCTGGTAGCTCCACCTCCAAGAAACGTGGAGCTGCTCCTACTGAGACTGTTCAGCCAGAGGGTGGGGCAGCTGTACTGCTAGCCTGAGCTAGTGGGTCTGTTTGTTGGGTGTTGGGGCATCAAGGGCTCACATGGAGGAGAGACTGGGCTCCTCTCTATATAGTGGCTATTATGTGCTGTAAGTTCAGGTGAAGACCTCAGACTCTTTGTTATTTCCTTAGACCAAGAGAAACAGGAGCAGAACCATTTCTGTGGCAGTGGCAGAAGGGTTGTCACTTGCCTTTGAGAGACTCTTCCCAGGGAAACTGAGAGCCACCACCAGTGGGTATGCTCAGCCATGGGTTGGGCAACTATTCTGTGGTCCTGAACCAGGGGCCCAGATTGGTGAAGAGTGGGGGTTAGGCTTTCCCAGGGAAGATGGACTGGACTCTGATCCATGCAGTGGCTGCAGTGTGTGGGAGGTTCCAGCGTATTGACTAGGTCCTTTATTCTTTCCCTAGCCTGATGGTAGTTAGAGTGGTACCACTGCATCTGCAATGGCAAAGGGGTTGTGGGTTGAGTGGGATTTTCTCCTTGGAGAAATGCTGAGCCACTTCTGAAGTATCCAGGTGGGGGCAGGGTAGATGTGCTGGAGACCTAGGTCAGGAGGCTGCGCCCAATGAGGAGATGTAAGGACAGGGACCTGTATGGAGAACAGTCCTGCCACTTTTCCATAGGGCGGCCACACTGTACTGGGGGTCCGCTCTAGACAGTAGTCACTCGGGACTCTTCAGAGCCTGTAGGCAGCAAAGGTGAGGGCTTCAAAACAGCAAAGATGGCAGCCCACCCCACCCTCTGGAAACTCCAGTCCGGGAGGTACAGAGCTGCTACTGTCCTGAGAGCCCCAGTGAGGGTTGGCTGGTGTCCCAGACCAGTGGGTATTATCCTGCGAGGTGCAGTGGAATCAAGTCATGCAGACAATCACTGCTCAGGTTCCTGGATCTAGCCCCCTTCCTCGGGGCCTATAGGGAGCCTAGGCACCCCTTTTGCTGGAGCTGCAGCCATGTGTGCCTGAGCAGTGGCTCTGCCCAGACTCTATATAGCTCTGCATGTCAGTCTGAAGGCCTTGGTGGAGTGGACTCACAAGGGGATCTCCTGATCCCAGGGTTGCAAAGATCTATTGAAGAAATGTGGGTCCTTGGCATCTCCCACTCACTCACTATTTCCCTATGGAGGGGGTGTCTCCCCTGGCTCTGTGCCACTCCTGGGTGTGTGGTTGTCCTGTCTTGCTCCTCCCTGTCTTCCATGGGTTGAGTTGTCAAGTTGTTTCCTTGATGAATCCCAATATGTTCGCCTGGATGTTTCAGTTGAAGATTTAGAATTTACTTGCCACCTCCTTTTCTGTCTCTGAAAACAATGTGTACTAGTTCCCTCTAGTCAGCCATCTTGTCCCTTCCCCCAATTTGTTTTTTTAGAATCATTATGCCAGTATCTGCCTCTTGATTAAAGTATTTTGTCAATTTACATTTAAAGTACTTATTGATAAGGTGAGATTTATTTCTGCCATTTACTATTGTTTTCTACGTGTTTTATGTCTTTTCTGTTCCTTGTGTTCATCCATTACTACCTTATTCTGTGATAAATACATATTGTCTGGTGCACTGTACTAATTTATTTCCTTTGTTTATTTTAATATACATGGATATATGTTTTTGAGTTTTTTTTTCTTAGTGGTTGTTCTAGGGATTACAATTAATGTCTTTACTTCAATCTATCTTCTTTAGATTAATTCCAAATTAACTTCAATAGTATACAAAACTGTTTCTTTTTTTTTTTTAATCAGTGTTGACCAGATTGGCCTTGAACGTGTAGGCTCGCCTCCCTGAGTGCCAGGGCAACTGGCCTGAGACACTGTGGCTCCCAAAACTGTTTCAATATAGTTTTTTCCCTACCCTCCTTAGTGGTCTTTGTTGTCATAACAATTACATCTTTATGTATCACAATCTATCAACTTGGTTTTATAATAATTGCTTTTTGCAATGATCTTTTAACTTACATATGAAAAGAAAAGGTTTTAAGCAAAAACACATTTTTTACTGTGTTTTCTATTTACCTGTGTAGTTTCCTTTACTTTTGCTCTTTGTTTCTTCATATGGATTCAAGTTACTGTCTGATGTCTGTTTTTTCAGCTTAATGACTCCATTTAGTACTTCTTGTAAGATAGGTCTGCTGGCAACAAATTCCCTTAGTTTCCTTTTTTCTTTTTAATATGAAATATCCTAATTTGTACTTTTGTTTTTGCTGTCCTGTTATTTGTAAGAGTCCTGTGTAACAATTTTATGAAGTTCTGACAACTGTGAATTATCAGTTGGAAAATACTGCTCTAAGTTCATTTTATTTTTCATTTATTCATTTTTTTATTATACTTTAAGTTCGAGGGTACATGTGCACAATGTGCAGGTTTGTTACATAGGTATACATGTGTCATGTTGGTTTGCTGCACCCATCAACTCGTCATTTACATTAGGTTATTTCTTCTAGCTATCCGTCCCCCAGACCCCCGCCCCTGACAGGCCCCGGTGTGTGATGTTCCCCGCAATGTGTCCAGGTGTTCTCATTGTTCACTTCCCACTTATGAGTGAGAACATGCAGTGTTTGGTTTTCTGTCCTTGTGATAGTTTGCTGAGAATGATGGTTTACAGCTTCATGCATGTCCCTGCAAAGGACATGAACTCATCATTTTTTATGGCTGCATAGTATTCCATGTTGTATATGTGCCACATTAATCCAGTCTATCATTGATGGACATTTGGGTTGGTCCCAAATCTTTGCTATTGTGAATAGTGCCGCAATAAACATGCATGTGCATGTGTCTTTATAGTAGCATGATTTATAACCCTTTGAGTATATACCCAGTAATGGGATCACTGGGTCAAATGGTATTTCTAGTTCTAGATCCTTGAGGAAATGGCACACTGTCTTCCACAATGGTTGAACTAATTTACACTCCCACCAACAGCGTAAAAGTGTTCCTGTTTCTCCAAATCCTCTCCACCATCTGTTGTTTCCTGACTTTTTAATGATCACCATGCTAACTGGTGCAAGATGGTATCTCATTGTGGTTTTGATTTGCATTTCTCTGATGACCAGTGATGATGAGCATTCTTTCATGTGTCTGTTGGCTGCATAAATGTCTTCTTTTGAGAAATGCCTGTTCATATTCTTTGCCCACTTTTTGATGGGGTTGTTTGATATTTTCTTGTAAATTTGTTTAAGTTCTTTGTAGATTCTGGATATTAGCCCTTCATCAGATGGGCAGATTGCAAAAATTTTCTCCCATTCTGTAGGTTGCCTGTTCACTCTGATGGCAGTTCCTTTTGCCGTGCAGAAGCTCTTTAGTTTAATTAGATCTCATTTGTTAATTTTGGCTTTTGTTGCCATTGCTTTTGGTGTTTTAGACATGAAGTCCTTGCCCATGCCTATGTCCTGAATGGTATTGCCTAGATTTTCTTCTAGGGTTTTTATGGTTTTAGGTCTAACATTGAAGTCTTTAATCCATCTTGAATTAATTTTTGTATAAGGTGAAAGGAAGGGATCCAGTTTCAGCTTTCTACATATGGCTAGCCCGTTTTCCCAGCACCATTTATTATAGGGAATCCTTTCACCATTTCTTGTTTTTGACATGTTTGTCAAAGATCAGATGGTTGTAGATGTGTGGTGTTACTTCCGAGGACTCTGTTCTGTTCCATTGGTCTGTATATCTGTTTTGGTACCAGTACCATGCTGTTTTAGTTACTGTAGCCTTGTAGTATAGTTTGAAGTCAGGTAGCGTGATGCCTCAGCTTTGTTCTTTTTGCTTAGGATTGTCTTGGCTATGTGAGCTCTATTTTGGTTCCATATGAATGTTAGTTTTTTCTAATTCTGTGAAGAAAGTCATTGGTAGCTTGATGGGGATGGCACTGAATCTATAAATTACCTTGGGCAGTATGGCCATTTTCACGATATTGATTCTTCCTATCCATGAGCATGGAATGTTCTTCCATTTGTTTGTGTCCTCTTTTATTTCGTTGAGCAGTGGTTTGCAGTTTTCCTTGAAGAAGTCCTTCACATACCTTGTAAGTTGGATTCCTAGGTATTTTATTCTCTTTGTAGCAATTGTGAATGGGAATGCACTCATGATTTGGCTCTCTGTTTGTCTGTTATTGGTGTATAGGAATGCTTGTCATTTTTGCACATTGATTTTGTATCCTGAGACTTTGCTGAAGTTGCTTATCAGCTTAAGGAGATTTTGGGCTGAGCTGATGGGGTTTTCTAAATATACAATCATGTCATCTGCAAACAGGGACAATTTGACTTCCTTTTTTCCTAGTTGAATACCTTTTATTTCTTTATTTTGTCTGATTGCCCTGGCCAGAACTTCCAATACTATGTTGAATAAGAGTGGTGAGAGAGGGCATCCCTGTCTTGTGCCAGTTTTCAAAGGGAATGCTTCCAGTTTTTGCCCATTCAGTATGATATTGGCTGTGGGTTTGTCATAAATAGCTCTTATTATTTTGAGATATGTTCCATCAATATCTAGTTTATTGAGAGTTTTTAGCATGAAGGGCTGTTGAGTTTTGTCGAAGGCCTTTTCTTCATCTATTGAGATAATAATGTGGTTTTGTCGTTTAGTTCTGTTTATGTGATGGATTATGTTTATTGATTTGCATATGTTGAACCAGCCTTGCATCCCAGAAATGAAGCTGACTTGATCATGGTGGATAAGCTTTTTGATGTGCTGCTGTATTTGGTTTGCCAGTATTTTATTGAGGATTTTCGCATTGATGTTCATCAGGGATATTGGTCTAAAATTCTCTTTTATTGTTGTGTCTCTGCCAGGCTTTGGTATCAGGATGATGTTGGCCTCATAAAATGAGTTAGGGAGGATTCCCTCTTTTTCTGTTGACTGGCATAGTTTCAGAAGGAATGGTACCAGCTCCTCTTTGTACCTCTGGTAGAATTCGGCTGGGAATCCATCTGGTTCTGGACTTCTTTTTGTTGGTAGGCTATTAATTATTGCCTCGATTTCAGAGCCTGTTATTGGTCTATTCAAGGATGCAACTTCTTCCTGGTTTAGTCTTGGGAGGGTATATGTGTCCAGGAATTTATCCTTTTCTTTTAGATTTTCTAGTTTATTTGCGTAGAGGTGTTTCTGGTATTCTCTGATGGTAGTTTGTATGTCTGTGGGATCGATGGTGATATCCCCTTTATTATTTTTATTGCGTCCATTTGATTCTTCTCTCTTTTCTTCTTTATTAGTCTTGCTAGCAGTCTATCAATTTTGTTCATCTTTACAAAAAACCAGCTCCTGGTTTCATTGATTTTTGAAGGGTTTTGTTGTGTCTCTATGTCCTTCAGTTCTGCTCTGATCTTAGTTACTTCTTGCCTTCTGCTAGCCTTTGAATTTGTTTGTGTTTTCCATGTTAGAATGACAAAATCACCTATATAAAGTCACTGCCATATTGAACAACAACAAATCTAACATTGGAGGAATGCCTATGTTTTACAAACTGCCTTTTCATTACTCTATTTCATCTTTAAGAACACCCATGTGAAGAAACAGGACATGTGAAATAACTTTCCCTGTCATCCACTTGGTAATTTGTTTAAATTGAGTTTCACCTCAAGGTCATATGTCTCTTAAATTGTGAAATGTTTCCACTACGTTGAAGGATATCACTTTAGAAATTTTAAGTATTTCTGTGAAGGCCCTTCATTTTGTGACATTGTTAACAACAGAGGTTATAACATCTCTTTTTTTGAAGGAGTATTTGAAGTCACTATGCTCATTTTGTTTTTATGAATGCTGTAAGTTAGTCATAAGTAAAAATAAGTGAAGCTATTTCAGTTCTTTTGAATAAAAAGGAAAGCAGATTTTTCAGTTCAGAAGGATAAAGACACAAGTCTGCTCAATGAGATGTAGTTACAAGATGCTCTGGCTTACTCCTAGCATGTACTGAACATCTATTTGTAACATACTTGGAGATTTCTCCACTGGTTTTTGTGAGTAAAAACCTGGTGGTTATCTCAATTTGATATTAATTGCTAGTAATTTGCTTGTAATAACCTAATGGTCGTGCCTACTGGAGGAAGATAACAAAAGAGAATGAGAGAAGGGAACCTTGCAGTAGTAGCTCTTAGATTCTATGAATGAAGAAATCCTAAGGGGAAACCGTAGTTATTTACAACAATTAGCCAAGAGTGATTACACCGCAGAAAACAAGTATCCCACTTGTATTCCATCACTAACTAAAAGGCAAGAAAAAATATTAAGGTAATGCAGAGTCTTAAACAAAGGGCATGGTTATATTGTCTTCGTAATAAGAATAACAAAGAGATCTGTTCTTATCACATAGGACATAGTATTTCCAGGGCTCTTCTGCAGATTGGGGAGGATAAAGTGTTTCTTGACAGAATACATAAATTATTTTCATTAGGAAATCAGGCAGCTTAAGACTCCATTAAGGCAGAAAAAAATAAGTGCAGAACCTGGAGAGTGGATCAAAAGAGAAAGAAGGAATGGGGAATTTTAAAAATGGTCTGTGCTAGAGATCTCTAACTAATACGAGAATCTCCACAGTGAGGGAGATTCTAGGGCTGGTGGAGAAGTTCCAGGTTTAAGATAGTTGAGGCTAATTGAAATATAATAAGAAATATACAGGAGAGTATATAAATATGACAAAGGAAGTCTAAGAGGGGAGGCAGTATATTTTTGGAGATACAAGAAAGGCTTCTCTTACAAAAGGAGAGGTCAAGAAATGTGGGTTGGAATTGCTGGAAGGAAGATCCTTAAGATTGATTATGTGATTGTCTGCAATATGAAGACAATGGTATGTAGACTAGATGTAGACATTAAGGAGGTCAAGTGTTTTCTAAGATTATTTTTTGGGCTGACAGACTTTCTATACCTGATGTCTGATTGATGTCTACACTGGTATTAATTCACTCTGATTATGAACCGTATAAAGGAAATTGTAATCCACTGTGATTATAAACTATGTATGGGAAATTGTTTTATAATGGAGAGAGTGTACACTATGTCTCAGTATATAATCATCTACTTTTCCTCTCACGCTTTAAGCTAGTCATATCACTTATTATCAGCCTCCTGCTCACCCCTCAGATACCCCCTCCTGTCATTAGTGTCAGACCTTCACATCATATTTGTCTCCATCTGTCTCAGAACTCTTTTCTCTTACTCCAAGTACACTCTACCCTCTTACCTATGCTTCTTCTTATTTGTCTCATATACGTAGCCTCAACCTATGGACTTTGATACTGTAAACCAACACTAAATTCTAAGCCCCACCCTGCCAACCACCTAAGTGGAATTCCTCCTCAGCTAGGGATATTTTAAAATTTAACCCAAGAGACTGTTTCAGGCCACAAGGGGAAGTGGGGGTCAGACATGTCTCATTATACTTCTCTGGCCATCACATAACAAATAAATAAATCAAAATATTTTAATCCCAAATATATTTACTTTTCCTATCTTGAAATAGCCCTGCAAAGTTTGTTCTTTGGGAAAAATCCACATTCTGTAGAGAATCTCCTTTTCCCTTTTTCTTCTTTCCAAATCCAGGAGATAATCAACTAAGAGACAGGCACCCTTTTAAGTCCCATAAGAAAATATTTTACAACATGTTCTCTCTGAAGCCTGCTAGCTAAAAGCTTCCTCTACACAATAAAACTTTGGTCTCCATGATCCTTTATCTTAACTCAAACATTCCTTTCTGTGGATTCCAGATCTTTGGATAAACTCAACCAATTGTCAACCAGAAAATATTTTAAATCTACCTACAAGCTGGAAGCCCCCTACTTCAAGTCATTCTGCCTTTCTGGACCAAACCAGTATTTTTCTTAAATGTATTTGATTAAAGTCTTATGCCTCCCGAAAACAAACTGCACCCTGACCACCCTGGGGACATGTTCTCAGGACCTCCTGAGGGCTGTGTCATGGGCCATGAATAAATCTCTGGCTCAGAATAAATATTTGGCTCAGAATAAATCTCTTTAAATATATTACAGAGTTTGACTCTGTTTGTTGGCAATAATATCCACCCTTTTCTTCAGATCATATACTCTATTATTTACTTATTTCTTGAGATGGAGTTTGCTCCTATTGCCCAGGCTGGAGTGCAATGATGCGATCTTGGCTCACTGCAACCTCTGCCTCCTCGGTTCAAGCGATTCTCCTGCCAAGTAGCTGGGATTACAGGTGCCCGCCACCACGCCCAGCTAATTTTTTGTATTTTTAGAGACAGGGTTTCACCATGTTGGCCAGGGTGATCTCGAACTCCTGATGTCAGGTGATCCACCTGCCTTCGCCTCCCAAAGTGCTGAGATTATAGGCGTGGGCCACTGTGCCTGGCCCAGATCATATACTCTCTTGAATAGGAGTTGTCCTATTCTCATTTCAACTTCAGGAAAACTCTCCTTTGATGCAGTCATTAGGCCAGCTCTGAGACTGGCCAGCCCCAACCTTAATCTCATCAAAAGAAGTAATGACAATGGACACAATAGAATTAAATAAAGTAAAGTATAATAAGAACACAGAAGAAGGAAGCAATGTGTTAATGCATGAGCTAATCTTTATGAGTAGAACATTAACAGATCTTTAAAGAGAAAATGATATTTTGGGAAGATGGATTTATTTTAATAAAGTCATCTGGGTCTTGAAGTGCATAGCATTTTAAGAACAATGAGTCATCTATTGTAAGGGAAATATATTGAACATGTGCCAAAGAACTTGCTCTGAGATTAAGTTGAAAATACAGATTAGTGTCAGAATCTGAAGTGTCTTGAATGCTATGCTAAAACAATTTTACTTTCACTACTGATAGTAGAAGTCTCTAAAGGTCACTGAGCATGACCAATATGATCACATCTGTATTTGGATGAAGCAATTTTGTTACCAATGCACAATATAGTATTTGAAAAGAAAGAGATCAATAAAGGCTATTGTGATAGCCAAATAAGAAATGAAAGTATCTTGGGCATTAATGTGGCAATAGAAATAGAAAGGAGAAAAAAATGGGAATATTTTGGAAATCAAGTAGAATTAAGATGTTATTTCAGATTATGGAGACAGATATAACAGTGACATAGGTTTCTATATTCAATAAATGGTTCATACCGTCTACTGTGATAGAATATTAAAGAACTGGAGATATGTCATTTCAAGTATGTTTAGTATGAGGTATATATTTAGTATGAGGTATATATTTAGTATGAGGATTAGCATATATAAATATCTAAAGGCAAATAGAAATTCAATACTGCAGGTAATACAAGAGGGAAGTCATCTAGCGCTATTGATACAGACATGTAAATCTAGAAGGATCCTTGCTTCCATAGTACAGAAGCAGCTTATTTTACAAGTGCTAATATATGTATTTTGTTTTGTTTTGTTTTTGAGACAGTCTCACTTTGTCACCCAGGCTGGAGTGCAGTGTCGCGATCTCGGCTCCCTGCAACCTCCACTTCCCAGGATCGAACGATTCTCATGCCTCAGCCACCTGAGTAGCTGGAATTACAGGCACAGGCTACCACTTCCAGCTAACTTTTTTTGTAGTATTATTAGTAGAGAAAGGGTTTCACCATGTTGGCCAGGAAGGTCTCAAACTCCTGACCTCAAG
Source organism: Homo sapiens (assembly GCF_000001405.40). NCBI lineage: Eukaryota > Metazoa > Chordata > Mammalia > Primates > Hominidae > Homo > Homo sapiens. The sequence goes on from NC_000004.12 coordinate 91,528,158, forward strand.
GAATGCACTTGCCTTGGCCTCTCAAAGTGCTGGGATTACAGGTGTGAGCCACTGCGCCCAGCCCAAGTGCTAATATATTTGCTATATTTTCATATAATGTATTTGCCCATAGTGGTTGCCTTGTTAATGTCTAAATTATCAACCAATAATAATTAAGAAAGTGATGGTATATAAAGTGTCAAATGCAGTTTTGTTATTTATTCTAACTTCTAACCTCCTATAAACAAATGTATTATCAACATACAGCTAATAACCAACACACAAATAAACAGCATGTTATTTAAAAAGGTAAATACTTTGACAAATTCCTTTTTCCAAAAAAAGAGACATATTTCCAAAAACAGAGCAATGTTGCTATACATTTCCTCGGGACTACATGTTAGGTTAAGGTGGTTCTGTTGATGACAGATATGGCATACAGATATATATTTTACATTTCTATATCCAGCACAATAATGAGCACATATTAGAGACAATATGTTTTTGTTGAGTGAAGAAACTAAAATAATAAACATTAGATGTAAAAGACTAGTCCTTTATTGTGTAGTAACCCACTCCATGCTTATTGAATACTCCCTTCTGTGTAAAGTCTGCTTTTTCTTCAGTGCTGTTTACTTTGCTCAGGATTTAGAAGTTTCCCATAAAAATAATACAATGTTAATAAATACATCATTCAGAGAAAGTTATGCAGAGTGGAAATTTATCTGGGTATAAAATACTACATACATCCCAGGACTTCTGGGACACAGAGAAAAACTGCATCAGAATTGAAGGTTTTAATTAATCGATCATAATAGGAGAACCAATCCAAAGTGCATTTTTTTCCAAAATTCTGAAACAGAAATATTGTTACTAATTAAAATGTGACCAATTTTGTTTCTCAATGCTTTTGTTTCTCAGTGCTTTGCTAATATCACAGGTTTTGATCAAATCATTCCCTTGAATGACCCCCTTGGCAGTGAATTGTATTTAATGACATTGGCATACCCATAGATTAAATTAGTTTCAGATGTAAGAAGGAAAATTCTAAATGAATCCTTTCAATAGCAGTGAAATTAAAATAGACTGCACTTATCTTTTTAGTCAGAGAATTATAGAGGGGCATTTATTTATGTGTGTATTTTTTGTTTGCTTGTTTTTAATATTTTGATTTGTTTCTGTAGCCATGAGGGTAATTTTGTTTACTGCAAGACCCATGTAGGGCAAGAAGGAATTCTAAATTAAATGTTAATTCTAAGTTATCAGTTGTTTTTCAATCATATTTTGGGAGATTTACATTAAATGGAAATTAATTTAATTGGTTTGCTTTCACATGTTTAAATGATTGATTTATGACTTATCAAATTTTCCTTATACTGTCTTCACCTTATTTGTTGTAACAGCTTGGGAATCATGTAAAAGCCATGAGAAAACGTGGTCATTATTTATTGTATAAATACTAGGATGAAATCAAGTTGCTTTTTCTTTTTCCTTTTTACATGTATCTGAGACTACCTTTTATGGCAAGCTACTTAACAGCTCATTAGATTGAGTAGCTGCAGGATAGATCTAAGCTATTCTCTTCCCTTCTCAGGAAGTCTTTGATTTGTTTTGACCATCTAAGGAAAGTTAATAGATTTTTGTCTGTATATGTTCTCTCCTTTATTTCATCTCTGAAAAATGTTCTGATCATTAGCATTGACAGAACAAGTTGTAGATATTAACTAAAATCCACGTCAGAGGGAAGACACAGGGAATTTATTTACTTTCTGAATGTATATTACATATTTTCCCTGAAGCAATTTCATATCCCAGGAGTATTTCTTCTCATTATGAACTATATCCATATGTGCTGAACACTGAAACTTGTGCAGATTTTTCAGAAATGGAAAGCATCTGAAGAAGCAAATGCTTTTTAACAAATATTATTGAGGTACCATACTTGAATATTATTATTCTTACTCAAAATTAATCAATGAAACAGTTTATCTCTCAACGGTAATGAAGAAGGAAAATGATTAATAAGAGGGCCTTGAGCCTCAAAAGAGGCATGTGCTTTTATTAAAAACATATATTCAATAATATAAAAACTAGTGAATATGTGACAGGATTTGCCTATCAATAAGTTAATACATTTTAATTTTTAATATTTAGATTACATTTATATAGTATATGAATGCTATAAACAATTTATGAATATTATTGGAAAATAAATTTTAGTTTTAGCCTAATAACTAATGCATGATTTAAGATCTTACAGATAATTTATTAAAGTCAATTCCCATCTGTTATATTATCAAAAATAACAAAACATTAACAATGAATAAATGGACCAATTGTATGTTTCATGCCAGACAAGTTGTACTGCTCTGGCATTAATAAAAATATTAAAAATTATGTAAAAAGTACATTATTCACTTTCTACACAAGCTGATTGTTAAACATTGAATCATTACATATTTTGTCTCATTTCTGGACTGTTGACCTATACAACTATGTATTTATGCTGAAAAAAAAATTCTGTTATAAAGAATTGTATTTTTCTTTCTTTTTTTTTTTTTTTTGAGACAGAGTTTTGCTTTGGTTGCCCAGGGCGGACAGAGTGCACTGGTGTGATCTCGGCTAACCACAACCTCCGCCTCCCAGGTTCAAGCGATTCTCCTGTCTCAGTCTCCTGAGTAGCTGGGATTACAGGCATGCGCCACCACACCCAGCTAATTTTGTATTTTTAGCAGAGACGGGGTTTCTCCATGTTGATCAGGCTGGTCTCAAACTCCTGACCTCAGGTGATCCACCTGCCTCGGCCTCCCAAAGTGCTAGTATTACAGGCATGAGCCACTGCACCCGGCAAAAATTGTATATTTCTTTAAAATCCTTTATTCAATAAAAATGTATACTTATTTATTGAAGATGTACTAGGTACTTTATGAGGCCCCCAAAATATTAAAAAGATGACTATTTTCTATTTAATGTATATAGGTAGTAATTAGACAAAGACATTGGCAGAAATAATTTCAACATTGTAAGAGGTATTTAAAATTTAAGTAAATTCTGCCTTAATCCAAAGACTGAGCATGTATTTCATTATGTACATTGTTTAAAATTTAATAATTGGAGGATTTCTCCATTCAGAAGATCTATGTGATTGTATTCATCATATAAAATGTTAATTTTCCTTATGCCTAAAATATGCCAAGCATGTTATAGGAATATAGTAGTTGAAGTTTTTATAAACCACTGGAAGTGGCCTATCTTGTAGTATCAGTGTGGTGAGTTCTTAATTTTATTTGTCTTTGGAGTTTAAAGTTTAAGAAACAAAGATAATAATGTAAGAAAATACCAAATTACAACACAAACTTACTAAAGCTTAGAAATGTAAGTATTCAATGAAAAGGGAAAGTGTTTAACTTACAGATAGTAAATTGTTAGTTACTCCATGTTTTAGTCCATTCCTGCTGCTATAACACAATGCCTTAGACTGGGTAATTTAAAAGCAGTAGAATTCATTGCTCACAGTTCTGGAGACTGGGAAGTCCAAGATCAAAACAATTCAATGTTGGGAAAGGACTTGCTCTCTGCTTCTAAGATGACACCTTCTTGCTGCATTCTCACATGGCAGAAGAGGGTAATGAGCCCACACACCTCTTGCATAAGGACACTAATCCCAGCAATGAAATATCTGCTCTCATAATCTAATCACCTCTTTAATGACCCACCTCTTATTACTATTGCATTTGGATAACTGTTTTGATTTTTAATAGAGATAAGGTCTCACTATATTGCCCAGGCTGATCTCAAACTCTTGTGCTCAAGGGAAATTTCTACCTCGGTCTCCCAATGTACTGGAATTACAGGTGTGAGCCACTGCTCCAGGCCTACAAACAATGACATATTATAGCCAATCAGAGTTTCTTGTCACTATGCTATAATTAATGTTTTTATGCAGAATGGAGAATGTCAAGACGAAAATGAATAAACCAACTTTTCAGTTGCCTATTATGCTGAAATAAAAACTTAGGGAATCAGGTGAAGATATCACTGGTCTTCATATTGAAGGAGAGTTTGGATTTTTACCTGTATTGGTAGATTATAAAATGAAGGCTTAAACTATTGTTTTCTGACCATCTTTAACAATAAAATTTTAGGTGCATTTCTAACTAGAAAAAGACGCATTATAAATGATACCATGTAAATGGATAATTCTGTAATTCTCTAATGGTTTGGAATTATTCATCTAGCTATAAATATAGTCTGAGTAGTTACTATATAGAGACCAAACTTAATTGATTATTATCCCATCTGCACTATCATTAGGTAATTATTATACATACTTAAACTAACTGGAATATTTTCTAGATTGAGAATAAGTAAGTAAAGTTAGATAAAAGGCAAAGTAATTTGCAGAACAAAAATATGTGTAATCAGTAGACATATTTATGGTTAGCATGTCTTCAATTAAAAGTTACACTTTCCTACTGGGCGTGGTCGCTCATGTCTGTAATCCCAGCACTTTGGGAGGCAGAAGCAGAAGGATTGCCTGGGTAACATGATGAAACCCATTCTCTACAAAAAAATATGAAAATTAGATGGGTGTGGTGGCATGCACCTATAGTCCCCCAGCTACCCGAGAGGCTGAGGTGGGAGGATCACTTGAGTCTGGGAGGAGGAGGTTGCAGTGAGCCAAGATCACACCACTGCACTGCAGCCTGGATGACAGAATGAAACCCTGTCTCATAAAAAAAAAAAAAAGTTATGCTTTCCAAGAGGATTAATCTTACTCTATTTTTATAGCCATTTGTGGAGGTATCCCATAAAGAAATCATTGCTAAAATACCAAAGCATAATCTTTGCAGTGTTGATTTTTCATCATTCATTCACTGAAGAAGCATTGTTATCTACCTATTACATGCTGTACATTAGGCACTAGGAATACAAAGATTAATGCATTTAAATATATTATTGTAAATGCACGGGCAATAAGTTATTATTTAGATTATTTAATCAATGTACAACAGAAACCTGAATAATTCTACCTCACTATTTTTTCAGAGGGATTATTTTATATCATTTTATATACTTATTTCAACTTTTCACCTAATTTTAGTGGCAAAAGGTTGAAAATATGATTAATGTGTATGAGTTAAACAAATGTCTTCCGACCTTACAGTTACTAGACTCTCAAACTCTACAATATAAAACAAGCCATAAGTTTTCCTATGATTACAGAATCTCATATATATTTTGGAAGGAGCTTTGGAATGTGTTTTATCCAACCTCCTGAAAAATGTTGGAGTTTCTTCTTTATCCTTCCCAAAGGGGAGGGGAATAGGGTATGGAAGTTGATTACGGTAGTTGAAATATGGATAAAAGAAGAGCAAGAGTGAATGAGAATAGGTTTAGAAGACAAATAGCTCTTTCTCTCAATTTTGCAGAAGGCTGGCTATGATTATTGGTATAAGCCAGGATAAGTCAAATAATCAAATATAAAAATTGCAGTGACTTTAGAATAAATTGCTGGGGACTTAAATTTGAAAACCCCTTTTGTTTGATTTAATGCAGTTGAGTTCTGTGTGTATATCAGGAAAAATGAAAAAAAAAATCTTAAGCTTCTTTGTAAGCTCATTATTTCTACATTTCCCAATCGTAATTTTTAGGTGACTAAAATAATGAGTTTAAACATTATTCATTCACCTGGTTCTCAATTATATCATGGTTGTTTTTACTGTAACATTGAAATTTTAAAGGGGTTCTTAGTATAAGATATGTAGCTTCTTTCTCTGCTTCTTGCAGGAATATGCCTAAACAAAACTGAAAAAAAATTGCAAATAGATATATGAATCATTTTCCCCTTGAGACTCTGCTTCATATAAAGAATGCTTCTTTCAAGCTACTTTCCTATTCAAAATCCTCTGGCAACTGTAGATTATCTCTAGGATTAAGACTAAATTTGTGAGGCTAATATTCCATTCAAGGTAGCCACAATCTATACTCCGTCACTTTTTTATAACTTATTTAAATTTGAAATAAATTCTCATTAGCCACTACTATTGGCCTATTTATACCTTTTTCCAAATTGCCAGGCACACTCTGTAATCAGTTATAGTCTCTTAAATCTGCTATGTGCATTTCTGTCTCTATCATTTTGCTCACATTGATTTTGCTAATTAAATTCTTTCCGCTCTCTTCCTTTCCAACCTAAGTTATAATGGTTTTAAGTATGTATCTAAATTTAATGTTCTTGGAATTTTTCAGGCAGACTCTGTTGCACAGTCCTTAAAAATCAAGTTCTATCAATGAGAAACCACACTATGATGTTTACTTGCTTTCTATCATGGGCAATTCATGAAAAATCTTTGTGCTATGTATTTAGTTATCATAATTGGAAATACTACTAGCAATATCACATGGGTTTGTTGTGAAGATTAAGTGAACTAATATTTGGAAAATGTAAACATTCTATAAGTGTTGCTACTGTTGCTGATATTATTGCTATTGTTGCTATTATTAAGCTATGTGACAACATGTTTATTGCCTTATATAATTTCTTAGCTATATTAATTCAATTTTTATGTGTGATTGACATATCTCTTTAAATTTTAAGCTCTTTAAGACTGAATAAAACATGTAGGATAATTTCTAAATATCCTAATTACTTTGGACATTTTATAGTAAAAGTTCAAGAAAATGTGCTCAATCAATAAGTGAAATTATGAATGAAAGACTGAAATAATGAATCCTTGTATTCAACATCCAACAATCCAACATTCTTCTATTCCCATTTGTCCATATAGATCAATACTATTATCTTAAATCACATTTTCTTCAGATAAATTTAGCCTTTTATAGACATTTTGTTTTATAAATTTTGTTGATTGTTATAAACTCTACTACAGATAATTTTATTTTGTGTTACATGTGTAAGTATAAATTAAGTGAACAATAAATATTTCATAAAAATATAAACTAGAGGATTTTAGCATCATTATTGGATAAATTCTCCCAAATATTAATAACTAATTTATAACCAAAACAATTTGTATCTGAAATAAGTTATTGTATGTTACATAGGTTGGGTAGAAATTTTATTTTTAATAATGTAAGCTCTGAATATTGATTTAGCCAATTTATGACATTAATAAAGTATGATATTTGGTGAAATTTTTATTAATTTAACCAAAAAAACTTTCAGTAATATTTTGAGAGTTTCCTACCAAGTTATTTGTACTGGGAAGCAGGTAGTCATAGAACCAGATGTGCTGAAAGAACTAGGGTTATTTTGGAAGGTGAGAATGATGAGGTGAGGAGACGGAATAAAATCTCACAAAATGAAAAATAAAAAACAACAAGAATAACCAAATCTTCCACTAGGAGGTATTCTCATTCTGCTCAATGTCATTATTAGCAGTTGGATGTCTTTTGGGAACATGTGGTTATAAGCATTGCCTCCTGATTTATGAAACGATTTCTGTTTATTCCTATATATTTATCAGTTTTAAAATCAGTAAATAAAATTTTAAGAATAAACAGAAATGTGGAAACAAATATGAAAAGAAACAGTGAAAACATGTGATAGTGCTTGTCTTCTAAGAAGTGAATGTTCAAAAGGAAAATTGAGTCAACAGACAAGTGTTTCTCATTTGAATCCTTGTAATGAAGCTTGAATTTTAACTTAATAAGACATAAACGTAATGACTATAAAAGCAAAACATGGGATGAAGCAATGCTTACAGGGTACTTATAAAGTAAGCAAGACCACATTAATCTAAAAGCATACTTGGCACCTCCTTAACCTTGGCCTTTCCCTTTTGTCCTCTCTTCTCTTTATCCCTTCAAAAAACCAATCCTCCCACTCTTCCATATTTTAGTCACAATTTGGAATATTAACTCATACCAATGTAAATATATATTTTTCCAGGAATACTCTAGTTTTCAGAAGGATCACAGTTTTCAACATAAAACGTTTGTGAAATTTAAGTTATCAACTAGCAGAGGATGTTTAAGATTTCAGTGTGGAAGAATGAACAGTTGTCAGAATAAATACTTCCATGAGAAATGTATACCTACTCATGCATAACACAAAACTTTAATATTTGCCTAAGCAAACTTTATGGCAACTTTTGAATACAAGAAATATTTATTGACTTCCAATAATTTTGGAATGGGTATACATATTCATAATTTCCAGAAGTTCAATTTGTATTTAGATCATGTTTAGCTGCCAAACATTCACCAGTACATGATAGAGAGAGAGAGATAGGCAGACAAATATAAGAAACGCAGAGTTGGATTCTATCTGTTTGCCACTGTAGATCCAGTCTCTACCTTTTTCTACCCTGCTTTGCTCCCTAGGAATTTGAATTATATTGACTGATAAATGAACTCCCTTCCCCTCCAACTTCTAATTGATTTCCACTAAGAAGAAAGAGGGCAGGAGATTTAAAGGATCAAGGAGAGTGACTTTGGATAATTTATTGCTTTGGCACCCAGTCTGAGACTCAGCATTCTGTCACTTCCGTGACCAAAGGTCTCAGTTCCTGTCATGTAGCTCTGCCCTATCAACAAAATTTGTCTTGTCACCAACTCCAGTAACCCTCTCGCTCACTTCTCTTCAAAGAATATTAAACAATCCCCACTGTTATTAGCCTTAGGATTCTTCATTATCCCTTATAGTTCCCTATGTTTTTTTACTATTTGTAAATAGTCCTTTTTCATCCTGTCTTAAAAATATCTTGCTCTGAGCCCTAGAACTCCTAAGATTTCAGGATTTTGTCCTGGAATCTTAAGTACAGTAGATGGAGAGACAGTTCTTAATCACTGGAATCCCTGGGATTAGTGGGATTTTATTTTTTATTCCTAATTATGTCTACCTTTTGTGATGTCTCCATTTTTAAATACATTTATCTTCCATTTGATTACTGCATATGTTAATAATTGTAGCACTAAAAATGGTTAATAGTCATTATGTGTTTATTAGCGGTCAGGCATTATAGTAAAAGGCTCGAACACATTAGTTTACAGCATCCCTGTGAAAGAATTACTAAAATTATCCCCTACTAAAGATGAAGACATTGAGACTTGCTTAGGTCAAGTGACTGTTCCAAAGTCACACAGCTAGTATAATAAGTGAGATTTAAACCAAGGCAGCAGGGCTCCATGCTTTTAACCACCATACGGTGTTGTATAGTACTTCACTATATACATTTGAACCTAGACAGAATAAAATTAATTTTAAAAAAGTATTTAGCACATTGTAGTTGCCTGCTATAGATGCCATTTAGACATTAAAATTTTCATGTGAATTGAATTCCAGTGATAGTTACAAAAAAGTGCTTTGACAATTTTTTAAATAGGAAACAGCATGTTACTCAGTGATAAAGCACACAAAAATGGTATGAAACTTTTAAAACCTAAAGGACCTGACACTTTAAATGATCTTTTGTATTGGTTCGAGAAGTCATTAAAGTCATATATATTTAGGGACCATAGCAAAACTAAATAACACATCAGAATTTTGTACAAAATTATTTTTTGAGTACTTAGTAATATGCTATCATATAAAGTGTGATAACTTTTTCTAAATAATGACTTAAAAAAATGAATCATAAAGCTTTACATCCCATAGCAATCAACAATATACCTATATGGGAGTACAGAGTATATATATTCCATGTAAAACCACATGTTTTTTTTCTTTATATTCATCCTATCAAATTAAAAAAATCAAAGGCAAAATTTTGATGAACTGATATCTTTCCTCATAAAATAAAAACAGGATGTGCCCTGGTTCTATATTCTTTAATTTTACTTTTTGAATGCAAGAATGAGAGAAAGCATTAAATCACAATACTGTTAGGATGAATTGGTTATATTCAGATAGACACTAATTATGTTTGACTGTTCTTAAAGGGACTGAACAAAATTTGCATCAGTAAAATTAATTCATACAACCACTATTCAATCATGCAGGAAAGATAATAGTCTGAAGTAAATGTTTAAATTTTCTTGTTTACTCTAATGAAAGAAATTCTTTCCTTGTAAATAACATTCGTATGTATGAGGAATGAGCAAAAAGATGAACTTCATAGATACTCCAAACTAAATAATTTTGTTACTTAACTATAATATTAAAATAATTGAAGAAGGGAAAGCAAATGTTCTTCTCAGCTTTTTGGATAATTGAAAAAAAGTTAAGCTGCTTTTGAAGTTAGACTGCATCTATAAGCTTTTCACATTTGCAGGCACCAGTTATGAATAAGTTTGTTCTGAAACAGTTAAAAATAAAAGATTTTCTTCATGACCAAAAAAATAAAAAACAGCATTAATAATAATAAAACTCCTCAGCACTGGAAGAAGTTGGAGAGGCTCTCTCTCAGGCTTAGAAAAAATGAGGAAGCCATCAAAAATTCAAGACCACAGACATAGAGAGGTACACCTGCTTCAAACAGCAGGACTGCTGTGCCTCCATTCTCCACTTTCTCCTTCTCCCTGCCCCAAACAATCCCTATACAAACATAAATTTTAGTTAAATATATGTGTATATATGATATATATTATATATACACATATATATATATAATATCTCAGTGCCATCTGAGTTGTAGATTCTATCATTTTTTCCTCTGTGGAACTGTTGTGGAGACAAATTGAGAAGTTAGCAAGTGCATTATTCTGGTTCTAAGCAACAGCAACTTTAATCAGGGAAGGCTGATGCAAACCCTCTAGGAATAGTATATAAATTGTTAGTGTAGTCTATTCTAATGCTTAAACAACCTTTACTGTATTGACAGTCTCCTACTGCTACACTCTCCATAGTGAAGCCTAAGCCCATTTACCCTTGTTCTGTCAGCCCAGCTGAATGACAGCAGATCAATTTTCTTTCTAAAGGTCCTTCCAGTTTAGTTTATATTTGTAGAATTATTTTTTCTCACTTTTGCCTTCTCTAGATTGAATCATCCAATTGTTTTAGTTAACTTTGACATTTTCACTTCTTTATCTCTAGCTGTTAACTCTTTATCTTATTCATATTCTTTTTTGTTTGGGTAACATGAATAATCGAGTCCATGTGCTATGCTTTTCCTTATATATTGTGTGTTCTTTAACTTGTGTTTGATTAATAGCTTGTGTTTTCAGATTATCTTCTTATCAAAACCAAGATCTTTCTGAAATGCTTTAATACTGATCTTTATCCATGATATAGTTGTTATTTTTCCCTTCTGACGCTTAAACTTATCTTTGACTTGTTACCTCACTTACCAAATTTTCTGAAGTTAATATTCTTCAATGTTCTAGCTAATGTTTTCTAATATATACTCTCTTTTCTGTAGAAGAGTTTTTAAGTGCTGCTATTTTACTGGGATTTCAATAAAATTTATCTCAAACATCCTACATATGGTAAAGCTCAATAAATATTTGCTGAATTTGGTCATCCATGGTATTGCTAGTGGTTTCCTAAATCAGCATGTGGAAATAGATTTTATGAATATGTCAGACTTCTCAGGAAATTATGACAGAATTAAATAATAGTGTCTGTAGTATGTTGCCTTCTTTCTCAGAAAGATGTTTGCTGAATTATATGAATCAATTTTAAGCTTTATTCTTTCTGTAATCAGTCTATCTATCACCACCTACTTCTGTACCACCTTCTCTTTACTTACTACATCTTTAATTTCCAACTTATTCATTCTATCATTAGAGGTTTGATTAGTGCACAGCTTATTGAATCATTAGAGCTGTTACTTAGAATCCTGATCATTTAAGGCCATTCACAGATTGACGATGTGCAAAATTTTAAGTTTACTTTGATGTGATTCGATAAAAGAAAATGTCTGGGATTGCTTATCTTTAATCTATGCATGATGGAACATAAGTAAGTCTCTAAAAATTATTTTAATAAGAGCTTACAAATTTCTAGGTGTTTTGTTTCACATTTTTAAAAATTGATATACTTCAAGAGCTTTTTTATGCTCATAGAAAATTGAATGAAAACTATGAAGTTCCCATGTATCATTGGTTCCTCTACTAGCACAGCCTTCCCCACTCTCTACATCCCACATCACAGTGGTACATTTGTAGAGTCAAACCTACATTGATGCATCCTTATCACTCAAAGTTCATAGTTTACATTAGGGTTCGCACTTGGTCTTGTATATCCTACTGTAGATTTTAACAAATGTACAGTGCAAAGTATTCACCACTGTAATATCATGTAGAATTATTTCAATGTCATTAAAATCTTCTGTGCTTTGTGTACTCTTTGCCTATTTTAATTGAGTTGTTTTCTTATTGTTTAATGCTAAGAGCTCTTTTTATGCTTTGAAAAACAGCCCTTTATCAGATGCGTATTGAATATTTTTTCCGAATGTGAGGCTTCTCTTTTATTCTCTTGATATTGTCTTTTGCAAAGCAAAAGTTTTTAATTTTAATGAAGACTAGTTTATCAATTATTTCTTTTATAGATTGTGCCTTTAGTGTATCTAAAAAGTCCTTGCCATACCCAATCTAGGTTTTCTTCTGTTATCTTCAAGAGGTTTATAGCTTTGTGTTTTACATTGAGATCTCTGATGCATTTTGAGTTGACTTTTGTGAAGGATGTAAGATCTGTATCTAAATTTATTTGTTTTTGCATGTGGATGTCCAGTTATTCCAGCACCATTCCTTGAAAAGTCTATTTTTGGTTCACTGTATTGCCTTTGCTTCTTTTCAAAAGATCAGTTGATTATATTTAAGTGGATCTACTTAGGTGGGCTCTCAGTTACACGCCATTTATCAGTTTGTTCTTTCCCCAATACCACACTGTCTTGATTACTATAGCTTCCTAGTAAGTCTTGAAGTTGAATAATGTCAGTCTTCCAACTTTGTTCATTTTCAATATTGAATTGGCTTTTCTGTATATTTCACCTTACTATATAAATTTTATAATTGATTTGTCAATATTGGCAAAATAGCTTACTGTTATTTCTATTGAGATTGCATTAAATCTACAGAACAAGTTGCGGCAAAGTGAGTTCTTGAAAGTTTTGAGCCTTCCTATTCTATGAAACATAGAATTAGTCTCTACTTATTTAGTTCTTCATTGCTATCATTCACTACAGTTTTTCTTTTTTAAGTATACTTTTAAATTCTAGGGTACATGTGCACAACGTGCAGGTTTGTTACATATGTATACATGTGCCATGTTGGTGCGCTGCACCCATTAACTCGTCATTTTTATTAGGTATATCTCCTAATGCTATCCCTCTCCCCTCCCTGCACACCATGACAGGCCCAGGTGTGTGATGTTCCCCTTCCTGTGTCCAAGTGTTCTCATGTTCAATTCCCACCTATGAGTGAGAACATGCGGTGTTTGGTTTTCTGTCCTTGCAATAGTTTGCTCAGAATGATGGTTTCCAGCTTCATCCATGTCCCTACAAAGGACATGAACTCATCCTTTTTTATGGCTGCATAGTATTCCATGGTGTATATCTGCCACATTTTCTTAATCCAGTCTATCACTGATGGACATTTGAGTTGGTTCCAAATCTTTGCTATTGTGAATAGTGCCACAATAAACATACGTGTGCATGTGTCTTTATAGCAGCATGATTTATAATCCTTTGGGTATATACCCCGTGATGGGATGGTTGGGTCAAATGGTATTTCTAGTTCTAGATCCCTGAGGAATCGCCACACTGTCTTCCACAATGGTTGAACTAGTTTACAGTCCCACCAACAGTGTAAAAGCATTCCTATTGCTCCACACCCTCTCCAGCACCTGTTGTTTCCTGACTTTTTAATGACTGCCATTCTAAATGGTGTGAGATGTTATCTCATTGTGGTTTTGATTTGCATTTCTCTGATGGCCAGCGATGATGAGCATTTTTTCATGTGTCTGTTGGCTGCATAAATGTCTTCTTTTGAGAAGTGTCTGTTAATACGCTTCATCCAATTTTTGATGGGGTTGTTTGATTTTTTCTTGTAAATTTGTTTAAGTTCTTTGTAGATTCTGGATATGAGCCCTTTGCCAGATGGGTAGATTGTAAAAATTTTCTCCCATTCTGTAGGTTGCCTGTTCACTCTGATGGCAGTTTCTTTTGCCGTGCAGAAGCTCTTTAGTTTAATTAGATCTCATTTGTTAATTTTGGCTTTTGTTACCATTGCTTTTGGTGTTTTAGTCATGAAGTCCTTGTCCATGCCTATGTCCTGAATGGTATTGCCTAGGTTTTCTTCCAGGGTTTTTATGGTTTTAGGTCTAATATTGAAGTCTTTAATCCATCTTGAATTAATTTTTGTATTAGGTGTAAGGAAGGGATCCAGTTTCAGCTTTCTACATATGGCTAGCTCATTTTCCCAGCACCATTTATTAAATAGGAGATTCTGTTATGTTGTGTGTTTGTTCTCACTGGTTTCAAAGAACATCTTTATTTCTGCCTTCATTTTGTTATGTACCCAGTAGTCATTTAAGAGCAGGTTGTTCAGTTTCCGTATAGTTGAGTGGTTTTGAGTGAGTTTCTTAATCTTGAGTTCTAGCTTCATTGCACTGTGGTCTGAGAGACAGTTTGTTATAATTTCTGTTCTTTTACATTTGCTGAGGAGTGCTTTACTTCCAACTATGTGGTCAATTTTGGAATAAGTGTGATGTGGTGCTGAGAAGAATGTGTATTCTGTTGATTTGGGGTGGAGAGTTCTGTAGATGTCTATCAGGCCTGCTTTGTGCAGAGCTGAGTTCAATTCCTGGATATCCTTGTTACTTTTTTTCTCTTTGATCTGTCTAATGTTGACAGTGTGGTGTTAAAGTCTCCCATTATTATTGTGTGGGAGTCTAAGTCTCTTTCTAGGTCTCTAAGAACTTGTTTTATGAATCTGGGTGCTCCTGTATTGGATGCATATATATTTAGCATAACTAGCTCTTCTTGTTGAATTGAGCCCTTTACCATTATGTAATGGCCTTCTTTGTCTCTTTTGATCTTTGTTGGTTTAAAGTCCATTTTATCAGAGACTAGGATTGCAACCCCTGCCTTTTTTTGTTTTCCATTTGCTTGGTAGATCTTCCTCCATCCCCTTATTTTGAACCTATGTGTGTCTCTGCACATGAGATGGGTCTCCTGAATACAGCACACTGATGGGTCTTGACTCTTTATCCAATTTTCCAGTCTGTGTCTTTTAATTGGAGCATTTATCCCATTTACATTTAAGGTTAATATTGTTATGTGTGAATTTGTTCCTGTCATTATGATGTTAGCTGGTTATTTTGCTTGTTAGTTGATGCAGTTTCTTCCTAGCCTCAATGGTCTTTACAATTTAGCATGTTTTTGCAGTGGCTGGTACCGGTTGTTCCTTTCCATGTTTAGTGCTTCCTTCAGGAGCTCTTGTAAGGCTGGCCTGGTGGTGACAAAATCTCTCAGCATTTGCTTGGCTGTAAAGGATTTTCTTTCTCTTTCCCTTATGAAGCTTAATTTGGCTGGATATGAAATCTGAGTTGAAAATTCTTTTCTTTAAGAATGTTGAATATTGGCCCCCACTCTCTTCCGGCTTGTAGAGTTTCTACCCAGAGATCCACTGTTAGCCTGATAGGCTTCCTTTTGTGGGTAACCCGACCTGTCTCTCTGGCTGCCCTTAACATTTTTTCCTTCATTTCAACTTTGGTGAATCTGACAATTATGTGTCTTGGAGTTGCTCTTCTCGAGGAGTATCTTTGTGGCGTTCTCTGTATTTCCTGAATTTGAATGTTGGCCTACCTTGCTTGGTTGGGGAAGTTCTCCTGGATAATATCCGGCAGATTGTTTTCCAACTTGGTTCCATTCTTTCCGTCACTTTCAGGTATGCCAGTCAGACCTAGATTTGGTCTTTTCACATAGTCCCATATTTCTTGGAGGCTTTGTTGGTTTCTTTTTACTGTTTTTTTCTCTAAACTTCTCTTCTCGCTCCATTTCATTCATTTGATCTTCAATCACTGATACCCTTTCTTCCACTTGATTGAATTGACTACTGAAGCTTGTGCATGCGTCATGTAGTTCTCGTGCAATGGTTTTCAGCTCCATCAGGTCATTTAAGGTCTTCTCTATGCTGTTTATTCTAGTTAGCCATTCACCTAATCTTTTTTCCAGTTTTTTAGCTTCTTAGCAATGGGTCCGAACATCCTCCTTTAGCTCGGAGAAGTTTGTTACTACCAATCGTCTGAAGCCTTCTTCTCTCAACTCGTCAAAGTCATTCTCCATCCTGCTTTGTTCTGTTGCTGGCAAGGAACTGCGTCCCTTTGGAAGAGAAGAGATGCTCTGATTTTTAGAATTTTCAGCTTTTCTGCTCTGGTTTCTCCCTGTCTTTTTGGTTTTTATCTACCTTTGGTCTTTGATGATGGTGATGTACAGATGGGGTTTTGGTGTGGATGTCCTTTCTGTTTGTTAGTTTTCCTTCTAACAGTCAGCACCCTCAGCTGCAGGTCTGTTGGAGTTTGCTGGAGGTCCACTCCAGACCCTGTTTGCCTGGGCATCACCAGTGGAGGCTGCAGAACAGCAAATATTGTAGAAAGGCAAGTGTTGCTGCCTGATTATTCCTCTGGAACTTTGTCTCAGAGGGGCACCCTGCTATGTGAGGTGTCAGTCTGCCCCTACTGGGGGGTGCCTCCCAGTTAGGCTACTCGGGGGTCAGGGACCCACTTGAGGCAGTCTGTCAGTTCTCAGATATCAAAGTCTGTGCTGGGAGAACCACTACTCTCTTCAAAGCTGTCAGACAGGGACATTTAAGTCTGCAGAAGTTTCTGCTGCCTTTATTTCAGCTATGCCCTGTCCCCAGAGTTGGAGTCTACAGAGGCAGGCAGGCCTCCTTGAGATGCGGTGGGCTCCATCCAGTTCGAGCTTCCTAGCCGCTTTCTTTACCTACTCAAGCCTCAGCAATGGTGGATAAGCCTCAGCAATGGTGGATGCCCCTCCCCCAGCCTCACTGCCACCTTACAGTTGGATTTCAGACTGCTGTGCTAACACTGAGGGAGGCTCCGTGAGCTTGGGACCCTCCGAGCCATGTGTGGGATATAATCTCCTGGTGTGCCATTTGCTAAGACCATTGGAAAAGCACAGTATTAGGGTGGGAGTGTCCCGATTTTCCAGGTACCATCTGTCATGGCTTCCCTTTGCTAGCAAAGGGAATTCCCTGACCCCTTGCACTTCCTGGGTGAGGTGATGCCCCGCCCTGCTTCGGCTCATGGTCTGTGTGCTGCACCCACTGTCCGACAAGCCCCAGTGAGATGAAACAGGTACCTCAGTTGGAAATGCAGAAATCACCCATCTTCTGTGTCGCTTACACTGGGAGCTGTAGACTGGAGGTGTTCCTATTTGGCCATCTTGGAACCTCCCTCCATTCACTACAGTTTTGTTTTCTTCCCGTGGATTTTGTATATAAATTGGTAGATATATATCTAAGTATCTAATTTTTGTGGATGCTAATATAAATAGTAATGTGTTCTTAATTTAAAATTCCACTCATTCATTGCCTGTTTATAAAAACAATTGACTTGTATAATAACTTTCTATCTTACAACCTTGCTATCTTTACATATTAGATCCAGAAGGGCTTCTTTTGTTTATTTTTTTAGATTTACTCCGTAGATAATCATGTTATCTGTGAACAAAAGCAGTTTTGTTTCTTCCCTCCTAGTCTATATAACTTTCATTTTATTTTCTTATTTTGTTGCATTAGTAGGACTTCTAGTAAAATGTTGAAAACAGTGGTGGTGTGGAGATTCTAAGCTTGTTCTTTATCTTAGAAAGAAAACTTAAAGTTTATTACCATTAAGTATGGTTTTAGTTGTAGGTTTTATTGTAGATGTTCTTTATTAAGTTCAAGAAGTTCCCCTATTCCTAGTTTGCTGAGTGTTGGTATCATGACTGGGTTTTTAATATTGTCAGATGTTTTTTCTGCATCTATTGATATAATTGTGTAATTTTTATTCTTTTGCCTGCTGGTATGATTGATTATCTGAATTGAATATGAAAAGTTGAACAAATCTGGCATGACTGGGTTAAATCCCACTTAATATGGTGTATATTTTTATATATTGGGTTTGATTTACTAATAGCTTGTTAAGGAGGTTTGCATTGATGTTTATGAGAGATGTAGGTCTATAGTTTACTTGGACTGGATTTGACAGTAGAGTAATGCTGACCTTATATAGAGAATGAGTTAGGAACCATTCCTTCTGCTTCCCTGTTCTGGAAGAAATTATAGATAATTGGTATAATTTCTACCTTAGAAGTTTGATAGAATTAGCCAGTTAACCCATGTCTTTTTTTGGAATTTTATTTATTATTGATTCTTTAATAGATTTATGCCTTTTCAGATTATCTATTTTTGTATGAGGTTTGACAAATTGTTTTTCAATTAATTGATCCATTTCATCCAGGTTATCAAATATGTAGGCACAGAATTTGCCTAATATTTCTTTATTATCATTGTAATGTTTATGTGTTCTGTAATTATGCCACCTCTTCTATTTCTAATTTTGGTAATTTGTGATTCTCCCTTTTATTCTCAGCCTAGCTAGAGGGTTATTAATTTTATTGATTTTACATAAAATCAGCTTTTTGTTTCATTGCTCTCTATTGATTTCCTGTTTTAAATTTCATTGATTTGGGCTCTAATTTTATTTCTTTATTCTACCTACTTTGGATTTAATTTGCCCTTCTTTTTCTAGTTTCTTGTGGATATTTACATGATTGATTTTAGATTTTTCCTTTTTTCTAATATATGCATTAAATGCTATAAATGTCCTACTAAACAATGTTTTCTCTGCATCCCACAAATTTTGATGAGTAGTATTTTTGTTTTTATTTAGTCCAAAATATTTTTTAAATTTCTCTTGAGTTTTCTTTTTTTTTTTTTTTCACCCATGTGCTATTTAGGAGTGTGTTGTTTAAATTCCAAGTATTTTGGGATTTTTAAGCTATCCTTCTGTTACTAATTTCTAGTTTAATTCTAGAACTTAGTCTGGGAGTAGACATTGCATGATTTATATTATTTTTAATTTGTTAAGGTGTGTTTTATGGCCCCGAATATGGCTTGTCTTGGAAAATGCTCCATATGAGCTTTAGTGTATAGATTCAATTACATGTAATTGACTGGTGATGCTACTAAGTTTAGTAATGTCCTTACTAATTTTCTACCTGCTGGATTTGCATATTTCTGTTAGACGGATGTTACAATCAGCTATGATAATGGATTCATCTATTTTGTCCTGTAGTTCTGTCAGGTTTTGTTTCACATATTTTGATGCTTTGTTGTTAGGCACATACACGTTAAGGATTGTTACATTTTCTTGGAGAATTGGCCCCTTTATCTTTATGTAGTGCTCCTTTTGTCCTGAAGTCTGCTGTATCTGAAACTACAGCCAACTTCACTTTCTCTTGATCAGTATTGGCATAGTATACCTTCTTCCTTCTGTTTACTTTTAATCTACATGTGCCTTCATATTTAAAATGGGTTCTTACAGACAACATGTAGTTGGGTCTTATTTTATGATCCATTCTGACAATCTGTCTTATAATTGTTATATTTCTACGATTGAATTTTAAATTGATGAATGGTACAGTCATACTAATATGTATCATATTTGTTTCTATTTTATATTTGTTGCTTTTATATTTTTTTCCAATAATCCACAATTTTTCTGAGTTTTTTGTTTTTTTGTTTGTTTTTTGAGACAGAGTCTGGCTCTGTTGCCCAGGCTGGAGTGCAGTGGTGTGATCTCGGCTCACTGCAACCTCTGCCTCCTGGGTTCTAGCAATTCTCCTGCCTCAGTCTCCCACGTAGCTGGGATTACAGGCGCATGCCACCATGCCCAGCTAACTTTTTGTATTTTTAGTAGAGATGGGGTTTCACCATGTTGCCCAGGCTGGTTTCAAACTCCCGAGCTCAGGCAATCCACCTGCCTTGGCCTCCTAAAATCCAAGTGCTAAGATTACAGGCGTGAGCCACTGCGCCTGGCCCTTTTATGGTTTTGAGTGTTATATATTGCACTATTTTCTCTCCTTTCTTAGAATATCAGTGATACTTTGTTACTATCTTACTGGTTGCGCTAAAGTTTGCAATTTACGTGTAAAACTAAGCAAAATCCATTTTCAAATAACACCATACAACTTCACAGGTAATGCAATTACCTTATAATAACAAAATATTCTTTATTCCTCCAAACTGTCCCTTGTATCATTGCTGCCATTCATTTTATTTATACACGGTCATACATGCACATAAATTATACCTATTATTTTGAAGGAATATATTTCTGTTAAGTTAACTAAAAATATGCAAAATAAGTTTTTATTTTACACTCACTTTTTCCTTCTTTAATGTTCTTTCTTTACATAGACTCAAGTTTCTAGTCTGTATTGTTTTTCTTCTCTTTGGGCAACTTATTTTAACATTTTTTTGCTAGGTAAGTCTAATGGCAACAAATTCCTTCAATTTTTTTTTTTTTGAAAGTCTTTATTTCTCCTTCAGTTTTGAAGAATAATTTCTCATGGTATGTAATTCTAGGTTTGTGGGTTTTTCTCTCTCAATATTTTAAATATTCTATTCAACTCTCTTCTATCTGGCATGGTTTCTGTGGAGAAATTGGATGTGATTCTTTTTTCTTTGCTTCTCTGTAGGTAAAGTGTCTCCCCCACACCATCCCCCTGGCTTCTTTTGTGACTTCATTATTGATTTTCTGAAGTTTAAATATGTTATGCCTAAGCGTCATTTTCTCAACAATTATCCTGCTTGGTATTCTCTAAGATTCCTGGATATGTGATGTATATTACATTAATTGGGGAAAATTCTTCATCATTATTCCTTAAAATATTGCTTCTGTTTTTTTCTCTCATGCTTCTCCTTCTGATATTCCCATTATGCATGTTATATCTTTTGTATTTATCCCACAGTTCTTGGACATTCTTTTCTGTTTGTTTGTTTTTCAGCCTTTTTTTCTGTTTGCTTTTTAATTTTGGAAGTTCTTATTCTCCTATTCACATGCTCAGAGATTCTTTTCTTAGCCATGTATAGTCTACTAATAAGTCCATCAAAGTCATTCTTTATGTTATACTGTTTTTGGTCTCTAGTAGTTCTTTTTTATTCTTTCTTTAGAATTTTTATCCCTTTTTACATTATCATCTGTGCTTGCATGTTGTCTACTTTTTCTAATAAAGATCTTAGCATATTAATCATAGTTTTATGAAATTCATTATTTGTAATTTTAACATTTCTGCCTTATCTGACTCTGGTTCTGATGCTCATTCATTCTCTTCCAGCTGTGTTTATTTCCTTTTAGTGTGCTTTGTAATTTTTTTGTTGAAAGGTGGATATGATGTGCTGAGTAAAATAAACTGTGGAAAACAGGTCTTTCATAATGCAATTGTAAACTGTGGGGAGATGCGATGCATTCAATCATACTATTATTAAGTCTTAGTCCTTTGGGGGCCAGGCAAGGTGGCTCAAGTGTGTAATCCCAGCACTTTAGGAGGCAGAGGCAAGCGGATCACTTGACCTCAGGAGTTCGAGACCAGCTTGGGCAACATGGCACAATCCCGTCTCCACTAAAAATACAAAAATTAGACGGCCGTGCTGGTGCGCCTGTAATCCCAGCTACTTGGGGGACTGAGGCAGAAGGATCGCTTGAGCCTGGGAGGTGGAGGTTGCAGTGAGCCAAGATTGCATCACTGCACTTCAACCTGGGCAACAGAGCCAGACCCTGTCTCAAAAAAATAAATGAGCCTTAGTCCTTCGGTGAGCCAGTGTCTACACTGTGAACTTCACTGCCGCTTCTCAGTTTTGTTTTGTCATTGCTGCTTTTTTTTTTTCCTTCCTGCATTAAGTGGGACAACAAGATAGTATGTGTTGGAGTTGGTATTTCTCTTTACCCATGTGGAAGGGTATAGGGAACTGTCACTGGGTCTTCCCTAACATGGGAGGCTAGCACTGGCTACAGTTGGGTATTTTCCTTCCTCCAGGTATGTCAGGCTCTGATAAAACTTTTGCAGGTTAGGCTCTGGGAAAATAGTTTCTCCCAAGGGAAGGACTTGTTAAAAACAGAATGCTCTGAAATATTTCCAAACTTTCCTTTTTCCCTCCTCTTGCTGGAAGCAAGATGGAATGTTTTCTGGTATTTATTGTAAGGACTTCGTAGGGCTTTTGCAGGTAAAACACAAAATTGTGGCACCGTATGTCACTCCACACCATGCCCCATGACTGGTCCCCTTTGGAGCTTTTAACTCAAGGACTTGTCCTCAGGGGGTCTCCAGCAATTCATCAATTACAGTTTAGATTTTCCTATTGCTTCCCATGGAAGTTTCTGCTCTGATAAGTTGTGGCTCTCTGTATCTGCCTATCTGTCTTTCAAATTTGGAGAATGCGATTTGTGCTGTAACATGACTTATTATTTTATGAATCTAAGAAGAGTTGTTGATTTGTTCAGCTTTTCGTTTATTGTTAGAATGGAGTGGCTATTTCTGGTTCAGAAAACAGAAGTTCGTTTTGTAATGTTTTAAGAAGAGAATTATATTTAAAATTGAGAGCTTCTTGGGCTATACTATACTATATCATACCATATCTTACTCATAATTTTGATTTAGTGCCTGGAGCAGAATTGGTGTTAATGAATGCACAGGGGATGAAAGAATAACTGAATGAAATGCTAATATATTATTGATATTAGAATTTTGCAATATTGTTTTCAGTAATAAATTCTCTGAATATGCGCAAAGCAAACTTCCATCTCCAGTTCTATGATTTTACATAGAAGTGTCCAAATTCACTGTTTAAAACAAAACTAACTTGAGCATTTGAAACTATTATTTTAAATAATATTGAAAGTTTATGTTCATGACTTACTTTAAGAACATAAAGTATTTTCTGCTTGATATAGCCAGTAGCTCCAGATATACTCTACAATAATAAAAAAGAAAGAGCAGTCAAATATAATTCAAACTACTATATTTCTAGGGGCATGGGCAGGATTTTTGTTACATTATTTTACTTATATACTATATATTTAGGGAAGCAATAAGTAAAACAAAAGCTTATGTATATATTTGAGGTAAAAATAATATACTCTTCAAATACCTTTATATATGCAGATTTTTGAAAGGCAATACTTATGTTATTGTGTTAATTGCTTAAAATATAGTTTTGCTATACAGTGCCTTTATAGATTAAAGGAAAATTTCTTTAAATGTTTACAGTTTATCTCAATAAAAACAGTGAGCTATGAATTACTCTGAAATGTAAAGCTTATGATTCTTTGCTTGATAAAAAATAATGAGCATATTAAACCCAACACCTAACCTGCTGCAAAACCTCATTGAAGAGCCGTATTCAATAGCTGTTTGATATTTCTATTAGGGTTTTATTGTAGGTAAAGTTGAAAACCACTGGATACAGTCCAATAGAGACTTCCAAAGACCCATGCAGGGATTTTATTAACACCAATTTATGACGAAAGCTGAGCTTGTATAGGCTCTAAATGTTCCTTAAAATATTTGTTTCTCTTGAGTAGTTCCTGAAGCAGCAGGCAAAAAACAAACACACACACACACACACACACACACACACACACACACACACACAATCAGTCAAGGCCGAAGCACTCAAGATGGAGGACTTTGCAATGTACTACCAGGAAATTATTCTTTTATTAATTTATATTTCCAAAGAAGAGATCATTTACACACAAAAGGTCACTTTTTTGCATGTTTTATTGAGATTTTGTTCCTGAAAATGAACTTCTTTCCTTTTAGTGTGCTGACAAACATCAGAACTGTCAAACATCAACATTTGTAATTATAACTTGAGCTTAAAGTAGAGGCAAAAGGGAGGGGAAAAATGCTGTGGCAGTTTGAATTTTGACAAATTTCAATGTAGTAGGAAATTCTGATATTGAAATCAAAATTAGTATTGTCTTTTCATTTTATGGTATATAGAAGAAATAAGTTCATTTTTTAAGATAAAAATTTGAATATAATTTTTAATGTATGACATAAAATCTCTAATTCAAGTATGTGCTCAGATGGCTAAACTACCCTCAAATTTGCATAGACAAGAGATTTTAGCATGTTACAGCCCAATAACATTTTATTCAATGATGCTGAGTTAGAATCCAATGTGCTTAAGCTGATAAATGTAATGAATAATTAGAGACCCTCAAATATTCTTATTAATCAATCTATTATTTAATTTAGCAAGTATTTCCAAACATAAATTACTTTCCAGGCACCATTCTGAGGCCTGAGGATACAGAAAAGAATGAGACACTGTCTTGAAGGAACTTACATTCTTGGGGCTAGAAATTAATAATCAATAACCAATCAAGTAATTAACAAGATCATTATACAGAGTCATAATTTGGGTTGATGTGATAAAGAATGAGAGGATGGGTGGTATGCTTCTTTATATTTAGAGCTAGAGGTCCCTCTAAGACAGTGTATTTGGACAGTGGCCTTATATATGACAAAAGGAACTACAGTAGTTCATTTTATACACTGGAAGATGTATAAGTGGAATGCTCAAAAGAGTGGAAGCAACAAGGCTGACTGTGGATTTAGCTTGTCATGCTAAAACAGAAGAAATGCAACTGAGTTTTGCATGTTGATTTTATATCTTGCAACTTTACTGAATTTCTTTTTTAATTCTAACAATTTTCTTGGTGGAGGTCTTAGGATTTTCTATATATTAGATTCTATCATCTAAAAAAAGATAATTTTTTCTTCCTTTTTTATTTGGAGGTCTTTAATTTCTTTTTCTTGCTTAATTGCTCTACATAGGATGTCCAATACTATATCAAATAGAACTGGCAAGTGTGGACATCCTTGTCTTTTTGCTGATCTTAGAGGACAAGATTTCGGATTCTCACCATTGAATATAACGTTAGCTGTGATTTGTTTTGTATTATATATAAGACAGGCCTAGTAAGAGGCCTTTATTATGTTGAGAGACGTATATTCTACACTTAATTTTTTGAGTATTTTTATCATGAAAGGATGTTGAATTTTGTGAAATGCTTTTCTGCATCTATTGAGATGATTATATGATTTCTATTCTTCATTTTGTTAATGTGTTAGATCACATTTTTTGACTTGCAGATGTTGAACATCCTTGCATCTCAGTGATGAATCCCACTTGATCATAGTGTATGATCCTTTTCAATGGCCTGTTAAGCTCTACTTGCCAGTATTTTATTGAAGGATTTTTGCATCTATGTTCATCAAGGTTATTGGCCTATAATTTTTATTCTTACAATGTTCTTGTCTGGCTATGGTATCAGGGTCATTCTGGCCTCATAAAATGAGTTTGAAAGCATTCCCTCTTCTTTAATATTTTAAGAAAGATAGATATTAATTGTGTTTTAAATGTTTGGTAGATTTCAGCAATGAATCCATGAAGTCCTGGGCTTCTCTTCGTCGGGAGATATTTTACTGATTCAATCTCCTTACTTACGGGAATTTTTTTTTTGTCTTCAGTCTCCTTACTTATTATTAGCTTTTTCAAGTTTTTGTATTTCTGCATGAATTAGCTTTGGTAGGTTGCATTTTTCTATAAATTTATCCATTTCTACTAAATTATTCAATTTGTTGTTGCTCAATTACTTATAGTAGCCTCATAATCTTTCTAATTCTGCAGTATCAGTTGTAGAGTCTTCTTCTCTTTCATGTATAATTTTATTGATTTATATATCCACTCTTTTTTCTTTTAGTCTAGCTAAAGGTTTATCAATTTTTTAAAAAAAACCAATATATTTGATATTTTCTATTATAATTCTTGTGTCTCATATATTCTCTAATCTTCATTATTTTTTCTTCTAATTTTCAGCTTGGTTTTTTCTTTTTACTTAATGTGTATAGCTTATTGTTTACTTGAGATCTTGCTTATTTTCTTAATGTAAGCATTTATCATTATAAACTTCCTTCTTAGAAATGCTTTCACTGCCTTCTGTAAGTTTTGGTATATTGTGCTCTCATTTTCCTTAGTCTCAAGATACGTATTGATTTTCCTTTTGATTTATCCTCTGACATTGTTTATTCACAGGCATGTTGTTTAATTTCCACACATTTGTGAATTTCCCATTTGTCTTCTATTATTGATTTCTAATTTCATATCATTGTGGTCAAAAAAGATTCTAGATATGGTCTCAATATTATTAAACTTGTTAAAGCTTTTCCTGTGGCCTAATATATGATCTATCCTGGAGAGTGCTCACTACAGGCTTGAAAAGAATGTATTTTCTGCTGCTGTTGTATGGAATGTTCTGTATGTTCATTATAACCTTTTGATCTAACAATAAACTGTCAAAAAAGAAGCTAATGAAATGACCACATACACAATAGCACAAAAAAATCTTAAGAACTTGGAATAAATTTAACCAGAAAGAGGAAAATCTGTACACTGAACACTGAAAAACATTGATAAACAAAATTTAAGAAGATGTAAATAAATGGAAAAATATCCTGTGTTGAAGGACTACAAGAAATAATAATGTAAAAATGTCCATACTACCCAATGCAGTCTATAGATTCAATGCAGTCTCTATAAAAATTCCAATGGTATTTTTTATTAAAATGCAAAAAAATCCTAAATTTATATAGAGCTACAAAAGACCCAGAATAGCCAAAGAAGAGCAAAGCTGCAAAGACATCACACTACTGATTTTAGAATATATCCTAAAGCTCTCTACAGTCATCAAAAAAGATGGCAGTGCCATAAAAACACATATAGAACAATGAAACAAAATAGAGGGCTCAGGATTACATCTATGCACTTAGTATTATTTGATATTTGACAAAGGTGCCAAGAACATACAATAGGGAAAAAGACAGTTTCTTCAATAAATGTTTTGGGGAGAACTGGATATTTACTTGCAGAAGAATAAAATTGGACCCTTATCTCATGCCATATGTAAAAATTGACTCAAATTGGATTAAAAACTCAAATACAAGATCTGAAACTCTAAAATTGCTAAAAGAAAATATATGAGGAAAGCTTCTTGCCATTGGTCTGCAAAATGATTTTTTTTCAATATGACCCAGAGCACAGCCAACAAAGAGCTATGCCAATTTGCTGGTTGACCTCAAATTCACTATTTTTCTCTTTGTAAATTGGCCCAGACTCACACTACCAAATTCAGCTTCTTCAAGTCACATTTTTCTATGTGCATTCATTTCTGTTTATTACTGCAGTTCAAAAATATTAATATCACTGATCAGCTAGGATAAGTTACTGTATAGTTTATTTTCTTCCATTATATATTGTATGACTTGAACTAAATATACTGTGACTAGTATCAACTAAATATACCAAATATACTAAGACTAGTTTAAAGCCCAATGCCCGGCACATAGTAATCAATCAACTAGCAGTACTCTGATTAGTTGTATTAATTATGGTCTTATATACTGTCTAAAGAGGAATACAGTGAGGATATATAATTTATACTAACATTAATGTTATCCATTTTCAAAGAAATGACTAAATACATACACTAGATACAAAAACAAATCTAACAAAAGAATGAATATTTGGAACAAGAACAAACTTAAAAGCTAAGACAAAGCCTTATTTGAGAAAATTTTTATTCATAATGTACCTGTGTTATCAATCTACCTCAATTTCATCTTATTTTATGTTTTTACTTTTTTGCAATGTATCTTTCTTCTTTGGAGTACAGTAAAATAACATTTTGTACTTACAGAGCATGTTTCATCAGAAAGGTCAATGTGCTTTTCAAACTCATTAATCCTTACAGCATCCCCAGGGGTGTGTAATTGTACAGGTAAAGAAATAGAAAGCTGAGATGTATAAACAATTTTATCCTGTCACATTGAAATGAAACGGTCAAACCCTTAATTACTCCATTGTAGATGCAAAAATAGAAGTTTCAATGGCATTAATATGATGATAAATACTGGTAAAAGAAAAACTTAAATGAGTTAAGTAAATGAAACGTGCCTTAGCACATAACACATATGTGTTTCATTGAGGAAAATGTTGTATTTGTAGTTATTTTAACGTAATATTTTTAGAGGAAATGAAGGTCAGGCCCAAGAAATGAGTGAATGCTAATTTTGACTTTGATCTAATTTGGGACAGCTCATTGACAGTTAAATACTTTAGCTTTAAAGTTATGATTACTTTCATTTAAAGTGAAATATTACCCAACTTATCTGTAAACTGTTAAAAAATTTGGTCTATTCAAAACTGATGGCTCTAACCTTCTTTTTTTTAAAGTGGATTATTAATAAACTTAAAGAACACAGTGGAAATTCTGGCCCAAGCATTCACAGGCAATCAGTAATAGTAGAATAATTTTTTAAATGATGAGTTAATGGGTGCAGCACACCCACATGGCACATGTATACATATGTAACAAACCTGCACATTGTGCATATGTACTCTAAAACTTAAAGTATAATTAAAAAAAACCTTTGAATGAAAAAAGGCAAAAAAATGAGTGTTCAAAACTATCTAGACAGATTATAAATTAATAATTACTGGATGAAATATGTTATATAAAGAGCAATCCTGCCGACTCCATGATCTTAGGGTAGTTGTGGGATGAATGGGCTTTCCTGTGAGAATATTTTCTAATATTTCAGCAACTTTCATTTATTTTTAGCAGAGAAAAATTTACAGACAGTAGGCACAAATAATTTATATAATTGGTGTAAATGCATTATATTAAAAGATATTTTAAGAAAAATTATTGATTTCTTTGAATGTAAGAATTATATGAAATGATTAGAATGTTTTTGTTTTTCTTCTGACCAATATGTCAAAACAACAAAGTCACAGCCATTTTTTAGAGAGGCCATTTTTTAGTTTTTGGTGAATCTTCTTATACATATTTTCAACATTTTTATAAATAGTTTTCTTTATCCCTACTGGCTCTATTAAATGGCAAGAAAATAAATGTTTTCTGTGACACTTTGCTTAAAATATTTAGAATAATGTAGGGAAAGGAGGTTACACTTTGAAATTCTTTCTTGACTCAGAGTGTACCACAGAATGTATGGAGTGTACAACTCTTAAGAATATTGTTCAAGGATACATCAGAGCTCCTGCATGTTGTGATCTGTCCTTAGGAGCTCTTGGTATCCACGTATACAAGTCAATTATTTGTTTCTGTAAAATTGTAAAATTCCAGGAATTTGTTATTTTATATAATAGCTCCTGGAATTGAATACCTTGTGCTATTGACTTAAAGTTATAAGATAGCCCTGAAGAGTCTTGGCAACATCATATTTACTCTTATTTTTTAAATTCATTTTTAAAATTCATTCAGAATTTACTGAATATCTTCTATGTGGCAGGCACCTACTGAACTTGGGAAGGTAAGATAATCTAGACTCTGATCCTACTTTCAGAGAATTGATACATAAATAAATAAACAATATTTATTAATGTAGTAAATACTATGATAACAATTAGAACAGAGTAATATTGGAGTATAGATGAGGAATGGGATTAATTTTGGTTAGGGATATTAGAGAAACTTACTGAAGAAGAGATAATTGAGCTATGTTTTAAAGGTTGGATGAGTTCCTAATGGAGTACAAGAAGATAAGGGCATTCATGAAGAAAATATAGTTTTTACAGGAGCCCAGAGTGAAAGTAATGTGTTCAAGGAGTTGCAAGTAATATGGTGAAAAGGTTTTGTAAAGATATATTAAGGTTGCAGTCATTGACAGTTGTTATATTAATATTTTCCTATAGGGAAGTAGTCTCCAAAGTTTTTAGATTTCATATTTGTATCAATGAAGACATTTTGTAAGCAAAATGTAAGCATTTACATATTTATTTATACTAAATCATGTTATACTAGGACCATGATAAAAATACACAAAAAAAGATATTAATGGGGTAAATTAAAATACAATTAATAGTACTTTAAATATTTCTTAAACATTTTATTTAATGTATATTACAAAGAATTTTTACTCTTAATATGGTATTTTAATATATTAATAATTACCTTTTAATAAAAAAAATATATTTCATTATTTTTGAAGCCTGGTATTGAAAAGCTATATTTAGTTTTTTCTTGTATTTGATTTTAAAAGTTGTCTTATCCAAAGGATATATTCTCTTCCAAAACTTCATTGATCCAAAAAACAAAATATGTGTATTATTGGTTCCCATGTTATTTCCAGGAATTATTCCAGCCATTTTAAAAAGCAGATGGAGATAAATGTACTTCCTCAACATAGCTAGCGTATTGTTTTTTGATAATTATTAAGAACCATCAATGAATTTAGAGTATTTTAGCACTGTATTTAAATATTGCTGTAACAATGTGAGTTTTTTTTGTTTGTTTATAAATGTCTTGCTAATTGTAATGGTTCCATGTTGTTATTTGCTGATGTCTGAAATCACAATACATACTTTGAGTAAAGTTCACAATTTGTATTAGTCTGTTTTCACACTACTGATAAAGGCATACCTGAGACTGGGAAGAAAAAGAGGTTTAATTGGACTTACCGTTCCACATGGCTGGGGAGGACTCAGAATTATGGCAGGAAGTGAAAGACATTTCTTACATGGTGGTGGCAAGAGAAAAATGAGAAAGAAGCAAAGTTGGAAACCCCTGAAAAACCCATCAGATTTTGTGAGACTTATTCACTATACGAGAGTAGCAGGGAAAGACTGGCCCCCATGGTTCAATTACATCCCCCTGGGTCCCTCCCACAACACATGAGAATTCTGGGAGATACAATTCAAGTTGAGATTTGGGTGAGGACACAGCCAAACCATATCACCATTAATAATACTGGATGTAAGTATTTCAAATAGCAATTTCTAATTATTTTGGTAATTTCTCATCAGCTATGGGGAGATTCTTGTTGATTTCAAATTATATATCTACAGAATGGTTCATGGTTCATTCTAGGAGCAGAAGTGTCAACTCCACATTGCTTCCTTTGCTTTCAGTGTACTACTATAAGTTTACCTTACATATGTCTAGTTAAGTATGTGTCATCTAATATTAACTAACAAAGTTTGGATATGGACCTCTGTCAACTATTCTGTGCTGGAAATCCCATTTTTTTTGAGAATCCTAGAGCATACTACATAGAGTTAAAGTCAGTGTGTTAAGCACTAATTTTCCAAGTTAAATTTATTTCTTATTTAAAATAATATAACAATAATTTAAAATTCTAATACTTTATTCTCATGCTGGTCCACTATGAGCATCTTCAAGAATTCTCCAAATAAAATCAAAGCGTGTATAATTGGCTCCACACCTTCAGCTGTTCTCTAAGTTCATTGTAATGTGTGGTAAAACAAGGTCACATATTCTGCAAGGTTATTCTATTAAGATGAAGGAATATTTTTCCCCCTGGGATATTTCAGCTCTCCTAGCACTGGGCTTGACACCTGCACTAACCAAAAGGGGTTTACTAATCCATCTGGCCATTTTTTTTGAATCCAGGGGAGTAGGGATGACAATTCTGGATTACTTTATATTTATGAATTTATATTTTTCATAAAACATAGAAACATGAAAATCAAACTCCAGTTATTCCCAAGAGATATCTTAATTGCCTTAAGAAAATTTGTGAGTAAATTATTAAAATAATAATTTCCAATTACAAAGAGGTATATTATTCTCATCCATGTTGCTTTATAAGTCATTATTAGAAAAATTATATTTATTTTTTCTAATGTAAGTTGTACATATTTTAAATAGTATCATATTGTAATATCTTAACCATTAGTGATCTAAATAAAAATGGTCTTATTCTATTACTTTATGTTTTGGCCAGTGGGTGTCATTGGTAAATGTAATGAAAAAAGGAAAAACTGAAAATTTAAAAGAGTAGGAAAAATATAAGAAATCAAATTTTGACAATATTACTTTTTGACAAGGCTTTTTATTACATGTGTCATCAATTGACAGATGAGTAGGTAAACTGATTGGATAATGAATAAATAGATAAATAGATATTGTTTTAAATGCTAGATACATATACTCTAGTCACTCAAGGTAATAAAATATGTTGCTTTATTGAAAAAAAAGTCCCATTTTCATCACTGTTACCAAGGCAAAATCAATTACATAATGTGGTAGTTAGATTGATGTTGCTACCATATAATTTCCAATTCTTTCTCAGTTTACTTGACAGAACAACATTATTTAGTTTGTGCACTATTGTTGAAGCAGTTAAAAGGAAACAAACACTTTTCAGCAATGTTATCAAATATATACTTTGTTTTTCCTTTTGAAGCTTGATTATTTGGCATTGATATTTTGTCTGAAACATAGTGGGTGATTAGTAATTAAATGTTGACTAAATGGATTATCCCATTGATATATGAACATACAGTAATATTATTCTTATTTAAAACAAAACAATTTTCTCCCCATGGATGGAACATTTGTTCATTAATAGCTGGCAGGCTATTAATTTAACTATATATTTTAAAAATTCAAAAGCTTTATGAGGTCAAGTTGCAGGTCAATTTTTATTTCTTGCTGTATGCTCAATCGTTTAATAACAAACACAATGTCTGGTAAAGAGCACCCATCAGTATATATTTACCGAATTAACAATTGCTTAACCTCAAATAGTAATTGATTTCTTTATGGCAAATTATTCACTCATATCTAGCCTACTTTTCCTGTGAATTTGACCAGAGTTTTAAGCTTCTCAAGTGCTTTTCTTTTCCAGTAGTTTATTATGCTCAGATTACTTCACGTGATACCTAATTATAAAGAACAACATATTGTTCTTTAGAATTAAAGAAAAAGTAACATCAAGAGTGTTCTATCCAGTAGACATCATAGATACAGAGCTAGTGCTTACACATTTCCAAGGACCTGTACAAAGATTTAATAACTGAAAGCAAACTACTGACTCCAAAACCTGAAAGTAAAACTATATGAAAAACCCAAACTTGTACTTTAAATACATGTATTTGTAAAGCTTTAAAATTCCAAGTCATCTCTCTCCTAACCTATAACAATAGCCTACTATTCTCACTCCAACCTGGAATATCCTCTGTATATACAGAAGCCAAAATTGTGTTCTCAAAGTGTCGTGTCTTACCCATCACTCCTCTGCTTAAAACTTCTTCCTGTACTGTAATATATCTAAAATGGAAAATGGTCCTTACCATGAGGCTACATAATGTGATTCCTGACAACTTTTCTGACCTTGTTTTATACAGTTTTCATTCACTTCCCCCTCTGCAAATACACTTGGGTGTCATATTTGATTCTGAAGTCTTTTACAAATATTGTTAGTTTTTCCTGGGGTTCTCTATTCTGAGACCTTTATCTGGGCTGCCTCTACTCATGATTTAAGTTTCAAGTCAAAATTTACTTCCTTTGAGAGGATTTTTCTCACTAGTCAGTGAGATTATCCCCTGATCCCTCATGTAGTCATTCTTTAGCTCATTATACTTAGTAATTTTATTTACAGCCTTTAGCAATACATGATATATGTATTTACGGGTGATTTTCAGTCCCCTTTACATAGAAATTTAAGCCCCATGAGGGGAAAATCTTGATCTTGTTCACAGTTACATCACCAATGGCTAGAATGGTGCCTGGAATTTAGTAGGAAATCAATAAATGTTTTTATTTCTAAAAAGCAGACAAATCAAAAATGGATTTAAACTCTTGCATAGGATGAAAGCTGTTTCTGCTGCTGAATTTTTTTTTCAGTTTCTTTATAGCTGTCACATATCTACTCCTAAAATTCTCAAAAGGAGCACTCTTATGAACATATAATTCTTAGATTTCTTCTATGGGTATATCATGGGTAAAATTTAACTATACATTAAGTAAAATTCTTTTCAGGGCAATATTTATTTTTGTGTGATTATATAGCTCTACATCTTATTTTATCTGACCTCATAAGAGCAGTTTCATAGTTTATTCAGGACTTGGATGAACTGGATCTCATATACATAAGGGAAATGGTGATTTCAGTGAGAATTGTACTCCACTGATGATGTGTCAGACATCTAGAAAATAGGGTTAAGGTTAATGTAACTT
This sequence comes from Homo sapiens, assembly GCF_000001405.40. NCBI lineage: Eukaryota > Metazoa > Chordata > Mammalia > Primates > Hominidae > Homo > Homo sapiens. Next base: position 91,562,125 of record NC_000004.12, read on the forward strand.
CAATCACATTTTACCAAAGTTATTTTCTTTTGTCAATCACTGAAATTCAAAATATCTTGCTATTATAACATTTTAAGATATTGAAAAGTTAAGAACCACTGTTTTCATGAGACATATTGAAGTGTTTTTTTTCAAAATTGTGAACTTTTATGTCTTTAAAATTGGATTATTGTAATGTCACCCTTAAAAATTCTTAAAGCAGACCTTATATAACTTTTTTCTGTAGTCTGTACTAAGTATCTTTATATAACTTTTTCTATAGTCTGTACTAAGTATCATTGTTTTCAGAATATTCTCCTTCAAGCTGTTGTGTGTGCCTTGGATGGAATAAGGGTTTATCTTCTTTCCATGTTCTACCTCTTGCAAACAGAGCAGCTGTTGTCCTGTGTAAACATGCCAAATTTAAATTTTAAATAGATGGAGGCAGCACAAGACCTACTGATTCAGAACCCTTGTTCCAGAGTCAAGAATTGTAGACCCACTTAGACTCTATATGCTGATGGCCAAAAAGAAATTGAATGAAAGTGTTCATTGTTTAGCATAGCCATTTTCAGAGTAGGATCTTCCATGCAGAGAGTTTTAGATTGTACTTATAGTGATAGCTAATAATAAAATTATTTTGAAATGGCAAATACTTCTCATTCAAAATGATATTGTAACGTATTTTATTTAAATAGTTTAAAGAGGAAATATTTGATGTGAAGACTTTTCAGGAAATGAAATAATGTCATCAACATTATTATGAGACAAATTACATAAAGACGTTTGAGAGTCTAACAAGTTGTAGAACAGGAGTGAGTTTTGAAAATAAGTTTGCTGAATTGATAATGTTCATGCCAAACTCAATATATGTGCAATTAAAAAGTCATAATTTTAAACCTGAGCAGGCCAATAACAAGTAAGGAAATTGAATTAGTAATAAAAAATCTCCCATCAAAGCAAAGCAGACATGATGGCTTTATTTTTAAGTTCTACCAAACATTTATGCCAGTCCTTCTCAAATGGTTCCAAAATAAAGAAAAGAAGGAAATACTTCCAAGCTCATTTTACAAGGCCAGCATTACCCTAATACTAAAGTCAGGCCGGGACACCACAAGAAAAGAAAATTACATGCCAATATCTCTGATAAAATAGATGCAAGTATTCTCAACAATATACTAGGTAACTGAATTCAATAGCATATCAAAAAGGATGATTCACCATGATGAAGTGGAATTTATCCATGAGATGCAAAGATGGTTCAACATACACAAATCAATAAATGTAATCTACCCCATTAACAGAATGAAGGATGAAAATCATATGATCCTTTCAACAGATGCAGAAAAAGCATTTGAAAAAAAGTCAACATCCTTTCATGATCAAAACTCTCTGCAAATTAGATATAGTGTTCCATATCTACACACACAGTGTTCCATATCTACAACACAATAAAGGCTATATGAGACCATCCCACAGTTAACATAATACTCAGTGGTGAAAAGCTGAGAGTTTTCCCTCTAAGATTAGAGAAACAAGACAAGAATGCCTACTCTTGTCACTTCTGTTCAACATAGTACTTGACATCGTAACCAGAGCAGTTATATAAGAAAAAGAAATAAAAGACATCCAAATCAGAAGCAAGTAAAATTGTCTCTTTCGGCAAAGGACATGCTCTCATACAGAGAAAATTCTAAAGATTTCACCAAAAACCTGTTGGAACTAATAAGCAAATTCAGTAGGATGCTGGATGCAAAATAAGCATACAAAGTTAGTTCTGTTTTTTAAACTTTAAATTTTAGATTTGGTGATACATATGAAGGTTTGTTTCATAGGTAAACACGTGTCATGATAGTTTGTTATAAATATAATTTCATCACTCAGGTATTAAGCCCAGTACCCAGTAGTTATCTTTTCTGCTCCTTTCCCTACTCCCAGCCTCCCCCATTAATAGACCCCAGTGTCTGTTGTTTTCTACTCTGTGTTTATAAGTTCTTATCATTTAGCTCCCACTTATGAGTAAGAAGATGAGGTATTTGGTTTTCTGTTCCTGCATTAGTTTGCTAAGGATAATTGTCTCCAGCTTCATCCATGTTACTGCAAAAGACAGACATAATCTCGTTCTTTTTTTTATGAAGACATAGTATTCCATGGTGTATATAGGCCACATTTTTTTAATCCGATCTGTCATTGATGGGCATTTAGGTTGATTCCATGTCTTTGGTATTGTGAATAGTGCCACAATGAACATACCCGTACATGTGTCATCATAGTAGAATGATTTATATTCCTCTGGGTATACACCCAGTAATGGGATTGCTAGGTCAAATGGCAGTTCTGCTGTTAGCTCTTTGAGGAATTACCATACTGCTTTCCACAATGGTTGAACTAATTTACACTCCCACCAACAGTGTATAAGGGTTCCTTTTCTCTGCAACCTTGTTGGAATCTGTTCTTTCTTGACTTTTTCATAATTAGCCCTTCTAACTGGTGTGAGATGGTGTCTTATTGTGGTTTTGATTTGCATTTCTCTAATCAGTGCTACTGAGCTTTTTTTTAATGTTGTTGGCCACATGTGTGCCTTCTTTAGAGAAGTGTTTGTTCATTTTCCCACTTTTTAATGCTATTGTTTCTCTCTTGTTAATTTGTTTAGGTTCCTTATCAATGCTGGATATTAGACCTTCTTCAGAAGCATAGTTTGCAAATATTTTCTCCCATTCTGTTGTCTGTTTATGCTGCTGATAGTTTTGTTTGCTGTGCAGAAGATCCCACTTGTCAATTTTTGCTTTTTTTGTGATTATTTTTGGTATGTTTATCATAAAATCCTTGCCTGTTCCTGTGTCCAGGATGGTATTGCTGTGGTTGTCTTTCAGGGTTTTTATCATCTTGGGTTTTAAATTTAAGTCTTTAATGCACCTTGAGTTGTGTGTGTGTGTGTGTGTGTGTGTGTGTGTGTGTGTGTGTGTGTGTGTGTGTGATGTGAAGAAGGGGTCCAGCTTCAATCTTCTGCATATGGCTAGCCAGTTATCTCAGCACCATTTATTGAATAGAGAGTCTTTTCCCCATTGCTTGGTTTTGTCAGCTTTGTTGAAGATCAGATGGTTGCCAATGTGCAGCCTTATTTCTGGGTTCTCTGTTCTGCTCCACTGGTCTATGTGTCTGGTTTTGTACCAGTACCATGCTGTTTTGTTTACTGTATCCTTGTAGTGTAGTTTGAAGTCAGGTAACATGTTGCCTCCAGCTTTGTTCTTTTTGTTCATGATTGCCTTGGCTGTTCAGGCTCTTTTATGGTTCCATATGAAATTAAAATTATTTTTTCTAGTTTTATGAAGAATATCATTGATAGTTTGATAAGAATAGTATTGAATCTGTAAATTGATTTAGGCAGAAAAGCCATTTTAAAGATATTGATTCTTCCTATTTATGACCATGGGATTTTTTTTCCATTTGTTTGTATCTTCTCTGATTTCTGTGAGCAGTTTTTTATTATTTCATTGTAGAGATCTTTCACCTCTTTGGTTAGCTGTAGTCCTAGGTGTTTTATTCTTTTTGTGGCAATTGTGAATGGGATTGCCTTTCTGATATGGCTCTCAGTTTGGCTGTTATTGAAGTATCAAAATGCTAGTGAGGCTGTACATTGATTTTGTATCCTGCAAATTTGCTGAAGTTGTTTATCTGCTGGAGCAGCTATTGGGCTAGGGTTTTCTAGATATAGAATTATGTTATCTAAAACAGAGATAGTTTGACTTCCTGTCTTCCCATTTGGATGCCCTTTATTCCTTTTTCTTGCCTGATTGCTCTGTGTAGGACTTCCAATACTATGTTGAATAGGAGTGGTGGGAGAAGGCATGCTTGTCTTGTGCCTGATTTCAAGGGTAATGCTTCTTGCTTTTGCCTGTCCAGTATAATGCTGGCTGTGGGACTGTCATAGATAGCTCTTATTATTTTGAGTTATGTTCCTTCAATACCTAGTTTACTGAGAGTTTTTGACATGAAGGAGTGTTGAATTTTATCAAAGGCCTTTTCTGTGTCTATTGAGATAATCATGTGGTTTTTGTCTTTAGTTCTGTTGATGTGATGAATCACATTTATTGATTTGCATATATTGAACCAACCCTGCATTCCAGGGATGAAGCCAACTTGTGCATGGTGGATTGGCTTTTTGATGTGCTGCTGGATTTGATTTGCAAGTATTTTGATAAGGATTTTGCATTGATGTTGATCCAGGATATTGGACTAAGTTTTCTTTCTTTGTTTTGTCTCTGCCAGGTTTTGGTATCAAGATGATGCTGGCCTCATAGAATGAGTTGGGGAGGAGCCCCTCCTCCTCAATTTTTTGGAATAGTTTCTGTAGGAATGACACTACCTCTTCTTTGAGCATCTGGTAGAATTCAGCTGTTAATCCATCAGGTCCTAGGCTTTATTTGGCTGGTAGGCTGTTTATTACTGATTCAATTTGGGAGCTTTTTATTGATCTGTTCAGGGAATCAATTTCTTCCTGACTCAGTCTTGAGAGGATGTATATGTCCAGGAATTTATCCATCTCTTCTAGATTTTCTAGTTTGTGTGTGTAGAGGTGTTCATAATAGTTTCTGATGGTTGTTTTTATTTCTGTGGGGTCAGTTGTAACATTTTCTTTATCATTTCTAATTGTGTTTATTTGGATCTTCTCTCTATTCTTCTTTATTAGTATAGCTAGTAACCTATCTATTTTATTAACTTTTCAAAAAACCAACTCCTGAATTCATTGATCTTTTGAATGGTTTTTCATGTCTTTGTTTCCTTCAGTTCAGCTCTGATTTTTATTATTTCTCATCTTCTGCTAGCATTGGGGTTGATTTGTTCTTGCTTCTCTACTTCTTTCAGTTGTGAAGTTAGGTTGTTCACTGAGATCTTTCTAACTTACTTTTGCTGTGGACATTTAGTGCTATGAATTTCCCTGCCTTAGCTGTGTCCCAGAGATTCTGGTATATTGTATATTTGTTCCCATTATTTTCAAAGAACTTCTTTATATCTGCCTTAATATCATTAGTTACCCAAAAGTCATTCAGGAGCATGTTGTTTAATTTCCATGTAATCACATGGTATTGAGCAATTTTCATTGTCTTGACTTCTATTTTTATTGCACTATGATCTGAGAGTATGTTTGGTGTGATTACATTTCTTTTACATTTGTTGAGGATTGTTTTATGTTCAATTATGTGGTTGATTTTAAAGTATGTGCCATGTGGTGATGAGAAGAATGTATATTTTGTTGTTTTAAGGTGGAGAGTTATGTAAAGGTCTATCCAATCCATTTGGTCCAATGTTGAATTCAGGTCTTGAATATGTTTATTAAATTTTCTGCTTCAGTTATCTAATACTGTCAGTGAAGTGCTGAAGTCTCCCACTATTATTGTGTGGGAGTCTGTTTCTCTTTGTAGATCTCTAAGAACTTGCTTTATGAATCTGGGTGCTCTTGTGTTGTGTGCATATATATTTAATATAGTTAGGTCTTTTGTTGAATTGAATTCTTTGCCATTATGTAATGCCCTTTGGGTTTTTTGATCTTCGTTGGTTTGAAATTTGTTTTGTCTGAAATAAGGATTACTACCCCTGTTTTTTTTCTATTTTCCATTTTCTTTATTCCTCCATCCCTTTGAGCCTCTGACTGTTATTACATGTGAGATGGGACTCTTGAAGACAGCTACCCACTGAGTCTTGCTTTCATACACAGCTTGCCACTCTGCATTTTAAATGGGGCATTTAGCCCATTTACACTCAAGGTTAGTATTGATATGTATGGATTTCATCCTATCATTGTGATGTTAGCTGGTTATTATGTTGGCTTGTTTTTGTGGTTGCTTTACAGTGACACTGGTCTCTGTGTTTAATTGTGTTTCTGTATTAGCTAGTAGAGGTCTTTTCTTTCTATATTTAGTTCTCCTTTCAAGTCTGGTGGTAATGAATTCCTTCAAGATTTGCTTATCTGAAAGGGATATTATTTACCTTTCACTTAGGAAGCTTAGTTTGGCTGAGTATAAAATTTTTGGTTGAAGATTTTCTTCTTTAAGAATGTTGAATATGAGTATCAATCTCTTCTGGCTTGTAGGGTTTTAGCTGAGAGGTTCGCTGTTAGCCTGCTGGAATTTCTTTTGTAGGTGACCTGCCCTTTCTTTCTAAGCTGCCTTTAACATTCTTGCTTTCATTGTGACCTTAGAAAATCTGATGATTATGTGTCTTGGGGGTAATCTTCTTGTGTAGAATCTTGCAGAGATTCTCTGTATTTCCTGAATTTGACTGTTGGCCTCTCTAACAAGGTTTGGATATTTTTCATGGACGATATCCTGAATTATGTTTTCCAAGTTGTTTGCTTTCTACCCTTTCCTTTCTGGGAAGCCAGTGATTCATTGATTTGGCCTCTTCATATAATCTCATACTTCTTGGAAGTTTTGTTCATTCATTTTTATTTTTGTTTATTTTTGTCCGCTGTCTTATTTCAGAAAACCAGTCTTAAAGTTCTGAGATTCTTTCCTCAGCTTAGTTTATTCTGCTGTTAATACTTGGGATTGCATTGTGAAATTCTTGTATGGTGTTATTCAGCTCTGTCAGACCCATTAAGTCCTTTTTATACTGGCTATTTCATCATTCAGCTCCTATATTCTTAGTTCTGATTCTTATTTTCCTTAGACTGGGTTTAGCCATCTCCTGAATCTTGATGATTTTTTTTTCTATCCATATTATGAATTCTATTTCTATCATCTCAGCCAGTTCAGCCTGGTTAAAAAATCTTGTTGGAGAAATGGTGAGGTCATTTGGAGGACATGTGACACCCTGGCCATTTGAGTTACAGGAGTTCTTGCACTGGTTCTTTCTCATCTCTGCATGTGGTTGTTCCTTTAACTGCAGTGTGGATTGAGTGGAATCAACAGACTTCTTTTCTGGATGTTCTCACCAGGCCAAGGCTTTATGTAGGGCCTTTATTTGAAGCTGTCTTCTTGTCTCTGGTTTCAGAAGGTGGTACATTAGTGAGGTATTTTTGGTGTTGGATCTTTGGAGCATGATACAGCAGTTGGCACATGGGCTTATTGTTGAGTTGGTAGACCCTTGTTTGGTTGTGTGGCTCCCTTGTGCTTCCTCACAGTTGCAGCCATGTTCCTTCTCATTGCTCTGAAAGTGTGGGTTCCTCTCCCCTTGAGTGCTGGCTGTAGATTGCAACTTGACACTCTGGGCTGCCTGGGGCAATCTCAGTGTTTTTGTTCCTGCCCCAACTTGGAGGTAGAAGAGGAAAGGATCTTAGTAGTGGTTGGAGCTGAGGATTGTTTGGTTGTCTCCTGGGGGCTTGTATTAGGCTGTTCTCATGCTTGTGTGAAGAAATACCAGAGACTGAGTACTTTATTTAAAAAAGTTTAATTGATTCACAATTCCACATGGCTGGGGAGGCCTCAGGAAACTTAACAATCATGGCAGAAAGCACCTCTTCCCAAAATGGCAGGAGAGAGAATGAGTGCCAGCAGGGTAAATGCCAGATGCTTATAAAATCATCAGATCTCATGAGAACTCACTCACTTTCATGAGAACAGCATGGGGGTAACTGCCATATCATTCAATTATCTCCCACCAGGTCCCCCCCAAAAAACATGGGGATCATGGGAACAACAGTTCAAGATGAGATGTTGGCTGGAACACAGCCGAACCATATCATTCTGCCCCTGCCTCCTCCCAAATATCATGTCCTCACATTTAAAAGCATAATAATGCCTTTCTAACAGTTCCCTGCAGTCTTAGAACATTCCAGAAATTCAAGTCCAAAGTCTCATGGGAGACAAGGAAAGTCCCTTCTGTCTATTAGCCTGTAAAATCCAAAGCAAGTTAGTTACTTCCTAGATATGATGGGGGAAAAGGCACTGGGTAAATACACCCATTCCAAATGGGAGAAATTGGCCTAAACAAAGGGACTCCAGGCCCCATACAAGTCCAAAATCCAATAGGGTAGTCATCAAACCTTAAAGCTGCAAAATGATCTCCTTTGACTCCAAGTCTCACTTCCAGGTCATGCTGATGCAAGAGGTGGGCTTCCAAGACCTTGAGCAGCTCTGCCCCTGTGGCTTTTCAGGGTCTAGCCCCAGTTCTGGTTGCTTTCATGGGTTGGCATGAGTGCCTTTGGCTTTTCCAGGTACACAGTGGAAGCTGTCAGTGGGTCTACCATTCTGGGGCCTGGAGGATGTGGCCTTCTTCTCATAGCACCACTAGGCAGTGCCCCAGTGGGGACTCTATGTGGGGGCTCTAACCCCACATTTCACTTCTGCACTGCCCTAGCAGAGGTTCTCCATGAAGGCTCCTCCCCTGCAGCAAATTTCTGCCTGGACATCCAGGTGTTTTTATACATCTTTTGAAATCTAGGTGGAGGTTCCCAAACCTCAGTTCTTGACTTCTATGTACCTGCAGGCCAAACAACATGTGTAAGCCACCAAGGCTTGGGGCTTGCACCCTCTGAAGCCACGACCCAAGCTGTACCTTGGCCCCCTTTAGCCAAGGCTGAAGCTGAAGCAGCTGGTATGCAGGGCACCATGTCTCAAGGCTGCATAGAACAGAGTGGCTTTGGGCCTGGCCCAGGAAACCATTTTTCCCTCCTAGGCCTTTGGGTCTGTGATGGGAGGGGCTGCCATGAAGGTCTCTGACATGCCCTGGAGACATTTTCCCCATTGTCTTGCTGATTAACATTTGGCTCCTCATTACTTATGCAAATTTCTCCAGGGGTATTGAATTTCTCCTCAGAAAATGGGTTTTTCTTTTCTATTGCATCATCAGGCTGCATATTTTCCAAACTTTTATGCTTCCTCTTGAACACTTTCCTGCTTAGAAATTCCTTCCATCAGATACTCTAAATCATCTCTCTCAAGTTCAAAGTTCCACAGATCTCTAGGGCAGGGGCAAAATTCCACCAGTCTCTTTAATAAAGTGTAGCAAGAGTGACCTTTACTCCAGTTCCCAACAAGTTTCTCATCTCCATCTGAGACCACCTCAGCCTGGACTTCATTGTCCATATCACCATCAGCATTTTGGCCAAAGCCATTCAACAAGTCTCTAGGAAGATCCAAACTTTGCCACATTTTCTCGTCTTCTGAGCCCTCCAACTTTCTAGGACATTCCAAACTTTCTCACATTTTCCTATCTTCTTCTGAGCTCTCCAAACTGTTCCAACCTCTGCCTATTACCTAGTTCCAAAGTTGCTTCCACAATTTTTGGTATCGTTATAGCAGCACCCCACACTCTGTGGTAGCAATTTACTCTATTAGATTGTTCTCAGGCTGCTATCAAGAAATATCTGAGACTGGGTAATTTATAAAGAAAAGAGATTTAATTGACTTACAGTTTTACATGGCTGGGGAGGCCTTGGGAAACTTACAATCATGTCAGAAGGCACCTCTTCACAGGGCAGCAGGAGTGAGAATGAATGCCAGCAGGGTAAATGCCAGACACTTATAGAACCATAAGATCTTATGAGAACTCACTATCATGAGATCAGCATGGGGGAAAACTGCCCCTATGATTCAGTTGCCTCCCACTGGGTCCCTATGACATGTGGGGATAATGGAAACTATTATAGAATTCAAGATGGGATTTGAGTGGGGACACAGCTAAGCTATATCAGGGGTCCATCCCACAGAGATGTAGGCCATCAGTTGCTCAGTGCAATCAGCCTAGGATGGAGGGTCTGTGTTGTGGGCCCAGGCCAGAGGTTCCTTGTCTGGTGATGAGCAGTGGTGGGGTGTGTATAGACTCGTGGTGTGTGACCCATGGGATATGGACTGGCCTCCTCTCCTTGGGTCTACTGCAACTTGTTGGAGGTATAGATAGACATTTAGGATCATTTCTCCTTCATTAGTTCGAGGGTGGCAAGCGCAGTTCTGCAGCAGAGGCAGTGGCAGAGAGGCTTTCAATTGCCCGTTAAGGCTCTGTTCAGGGAGTTGCCAAGTTGCTACTGGCTCGATAACTCTGGTGGGGTGACTGGGGACACAGAGCTGGAGGATCTGCCCAGTGAGAAAATACGGGAATGGGTACCCATTTAATAATCTGGCCACTTTTTTGTAGGACTGTTGCAATATACTTGGGCCAGCTCCAGTCTCTAGTCACTTCAAATTTTCCCATACCTGGTGGTATCACCAGAGAAGGCTGTGAAACAGTGAAGATAGCAGCCTGTCCATCTCTCTGGGAGCTTCATCCTAGGGAGGTACAGGCCTGTTGCTGACCAAAAGACACCTGTAGGAGGTGGCTGGCTACCCTGGTTGGTAGGTCCAGCCCAGTGAGGAGGAATGGGATCAGGGACCCACTTAAAAAATCAGTCTGGCCACTGCCAGACTGATTCAGTTCAATTCCTGGTTGCCTCAAACACTTCGATGACCAAAGGCTGGAACAGTGATGTCAGGCAAACGGCAAAGACGGTAGCCTGGTGCTTCCTCTGAGATTGCTATCCCAGGGAGAATTCAACTCTCTTTCTGCCAGAGAACACCTGCAGGTATAGCCAGAGGCCCCAGTTGGGAGGTCCCACACAGTGAGAAGTGGGACTGGGGACCTGGCTTAAAGAAGCAGTCTGGGCTGGGCATGATGGCTTATATCTGTAATCCCAGCATCTTGGGAGGCCAAGGTGGGTGGATAGCTTGAGCTCAGGAGTTCAAGACCAGCCTGGGCAACATGTCAAAACCCTGTCTCTACTAAAAATCTATAAAAAAAAAAAAAAAAGAAGAAGCCTGTCCATTTCTTGGTAGAGCAGCTGTGCTGTACTTAGGCATCCCTCCACCCCTAGTCAGCTGGGACTCTTCAAAGCCTAGAGGCTGGATCAGCTAAGTCACTCAAACAGCAAAGATGGTGGCCTGCCCCTCCCTCTGGGAGCTCCATCTCAGGGAGAATTCAAATCTTTGTCTGCTGGAAAACATGGAGGTGAGAGGCTGGAGGCCCAGTTTGGGAGGTCCTTCCCAGTGAGGTGGAACGGGATTGAGAACCCTCTTAAAGTGGCAGTCTGACCACATTGTGGTAGAGCAGTTGTGCTGTGCTGGGGGGAACCCCTCCAACCCTGGTTGGCTTGTACTCCAAAACCTGAAGGCTGGATTGGCTAAGGCACCCAAACAGTAAGGATGGTGTTCCACCCCCTCCCAACAGGAGCTCTTTCTTAGGGAGATACAATGCTGCCATTGGTGGCTGGCTGGAATTCTAAGTCAGTGGGTCTTATCTTGTGAGACACCAAGGAAGTAAATCCTGCAGGCTGTCACTGCTCAGCCCCCTGGATTCACCCTCTTTCCTAGTAGTATACACAGGGGTGTAACCTCCTACTTTGCTGGAAAGTCCAAGGACCTAAGGCTCCAGGGTCTCCACGCATGCCTGAGTGGCTTCTCTGCCAAGAGTCTGCATAGCTCTGTCAGATTGAAGGCCCTGGTGGAGTGCAGTGGGTTCACAAGGAGATCTCCTGACCCAAGGATTGCAAAGATCCATAGGAGAAGTGTAGTTCCCAATTCACACATTCACTCAGCACTTCCCAGAGTTGGGGAGGTTTCCCTGGCTTCGTGATGCTACCAGGTGGACCGTTGCCCTGCTTTGCTTTTCTTTGTTTTCCATGGATCAAGTTGTTTCCTTGATTAGTCCCAATGCAAGTACCTGGATGTTTCAGTTGAAGGTGTTGTATTTACTTGCCCCTTCCATTCCTCTTTGTGAGAACCATGCACACTAGCTGCTTCTAGTTGGCCATCTTGGGCACTCCCCACCCAGTTCTGTTTTTATACACTAACAATGAACTATTCAAAAAAGAAATTAAGAAAGCAATCCCACTTAAAATTGCATCAAAACGAATAAAATACTTTAGCATAAATTTAACCAAGGAGGTGAAAGATCTGCACATTGAAAACCATAAAACATTGATGAGAGAAATCGAGGACATAAATAAATGGAACAATATCTATTGTTCCATTGATTGGAATAATTAATATTTTTTAAATATTCCTACTACCCAAAGTGATCTACCAAATCTCTATCAAAATTTCAAGAGAAATTTTCACAGACATTGAAAAAAAGCAATTCAACAATTTGCAAGGAAACATATAAGGTACTGAAGAACTAAAATAATTTTGAGGAAATTACTATTATTAAAAAGTCAAAAAACAGATGCTACTGAGGTTCTGGAAAAAAAAAAATGAATGCTTATACATATATTCAGTGTTGGTGGAAATTTAAATTGGTTTAGCCACTGTGGAAAACAGTGTGTACATTTCTCAAGAACTTAAAACAGAACTACCATTTGACCCAGCAATCCCATTACTGGATATGTATCTAAAAAGAAAATCATTCTACCAAAAAAACACATGCACTCGTATGTTAATCACAGCACTATTCACAATAGCAAAGACATGGAATCTATCTAGGTGCCCATTAACACTGAATTGGATAAAGAAAATTTGGTACATATACACCATGGAGTATACACAGATGTAAAAAAGAATGAGATTATGTCATTTGCAGCAACATGGATGCAGCTGGAGTCCATTATCCTAAGCAAATTATTGCAGGAATAGAAAACTAAATACCTCATGTTCTCACTTATAAGTAGGAGCTAAACATCATGGGCATAAAAATGACAACAATAGACATTAGGGACTACCAGGGACATTAGGGAGGGAGGAGGGGAAAGAGTTTTAAAACAAACTGTTTGTTACTATGCTCATTACGTGGATTATGGGATCATTTGAATCCCAAACCTTAGCATCACACAATATACCCATGTAACAAACCTGCACATGTACCCCGAGAATCTAAAATAAAAGTTGAAATTTATAAAAAGAATCTTGAAAAAGTAGAGCAAAGCTGGAGGCATTGCACTACTGATTTCAAATTATATTATAATGGTATAGTAATCAAGACAGTATTGTAGGGATAAAAAGAGGTACATAGGTCAATGAAAGAGAATAGAAATCCCAGAAATAAACTCATGTATATAGGGTCAACTAATCTTCAACAAAGAAAACCAAGAATACACAATGAGGAAAGGACAATCTCTTCAATAAATACTGTTGGGAAAACTGAATATCCATGTGCAAGTAAAAAGTGAAATGAGATCCATATCCATACCATATACAAAGATCAATTTAAAATGGATTAAAGATTTAAACATAAGACCTAAAACCATAAACCTCCTAAAAGAAAACCCAGGAGAAAAACTCATTGACATTGATCATGGCAATGTTTCTTGGATATGACACCAAAAACACAGGCAACAAAAGCAAAATATGATCAAGCAGAATGTCATCAAACTAAAATATCTGCACAAGAAAGGGAGCAATTAAAAAATGAAAAGATAACCCATTGAATAAGAGAAAACATTTGCAAATCATATATCTAATAAGGGAGTTCATACCCAAAATGCATATAGAACTCAAATAACTCAATAGCAAGAAAACAAATAATCTGGTTAAAATGGGTAAAGGATATGAATAGTTATTTCCAAAAGTGATCTACCAAATATCTATCAAAATTCCAAAAGTATTTTTCACAGAAAAGAAAATCCTAAAATATGTATGGAATTACAAAAGATGAAAAATAGCTAAAATAATTTTGAGGAAGTAGAACCAAGCTGGAGGCTTCAAAAGGAGGCATACAATTTGTCAAAAAGTGTATGAAAAAAATGTTCACCATCACTAATAATCAGGGAATTGCAAATTAAAACAACAGTAAAATACCTCGAACATTTTAGAATGACTATTATAAAAAAGACAAAATATAAAAAGGGTTGGAAGGGGTGTAGAGAAAAGGGAACCTTTATATATGGTTCATGAAAATATAAATTGGTTCAGCCATTATGAAAAAACTGTACGAAGCTTCTTCAAAAAATTAAAAATAAAACTACCATATAATGCAGCAATCCCACTTCTGGATATATACCCAAAGGAAATGAAATCAGTATGTCAAAGAGATATTTACACTTACTCGTTCATTGCAGCATTATTCACAATAGACAAGATATGGAAATAACCTAAATGTCCACTGATGGACGAATGGATACAGAAATGTGATCTATCTATCTATCAATCATCTATCTATCTGTCAATTATCTATGTCTAAATCAATATCTATATAATATAACTTTATTCAGCCTTTAAAAAGAAGGGTATTTTGTCATTTGTAACAATGTAGGTTTACCTGGAGGGCATTATGCTAAGTGAAGTAAGACACAGAAGACAAATACTACATAATATCATCTATATGTAAAATCTAAAAAAAGTCCAACTCATAAAAACAGAGAGTAGAATGATGGTTACCAGGGACTTGCATTTCAGGAGCAGGTAAAATGAGATGTTGGTTACAAGGACCAAACTTTCAGTTATGAGTAAATTCTGGAGACCTAATGCATACCCTAGTGACTATGTTTAATAATGTATTTTTGAAATTTGCCAAGATAGTAGGTCTTAGATACAGGTTGAGTATCCCTTATCCGAAATGTTTGGGACCAGAAGCATTTTAGAGTTGGAGTTTTTCAGATTTTGGAATGTTTGCATATACATAATGATATATTTTATGGATATGTCTTGGGAGGTGACTGAAGTCTAAACATGAAATTCATTTTTGTTTTTTATACACTTTATACACACAGGCTGAAGGTAATTTTTAAAAGTATTTTAAATAATTTTGAGATCGGGGTGAAATTTTTCACTTGTAACACCACATCAGTGCTCAAAAAGTTTTGGATTTTGAGCATTTTGGATTTTAAATTTTTGGATTAGGAATACTTAACCTATATTTTCAGCACACAAAGGTAACTATGTGAGGTGATGGATATAATCATTGATTGCATTGTGGCAATCATTTCATAGTGTGCATGTATATCAAAACATCACATTGTATACCTCATATATATTTAATTTTTGTTTTCAATTATATACTACAGTAAAGCTAAAAAAGTCATAATTTTGCTGCATGGAGCAAACCTTCCAAATAACATTGGTGCATAGCTTACTGAACACACTTTAAGAGATTTGGAAAAGTACGTTAAAATGATCTATAGAAACCTGATATTAACACAGGCCTTTATATCTTTTTTTTAAATGTGGTTTCCTCTGAGATTATCTGCTTAGCTCAAAGTTCAGACAGTTTATGAGCATCTCACTTGTGAGACTCTGGTTATTGTGTCTATGCTAAGCCACAAGTTAGACCTTGGGGGGCACAGAAAAAGATATATGATACTTGAAAGTGCTCAGAAGAAGAAGGGGAGAGAAGATCAGTGTTTCCAGAGATACCAGGAAAACTGCCAGGAAGTCTAAATCACACTAAAATTACATTTCAAAGAGAACTCCTTGCGGATTCAATAACTTTTCCAAGAAAGCAGCAAAAAATAAAATAAAAAAAAATACCTTGCAATTCACAATTCTTTCTAGCATATTATATTTTTATCACCAGGAGGAAGCAAATTAATTACAATGAATAGTATTGGATTAATGAACATCATAAAAGATGCCATATCTAACCATGTTTAAGGACCTTGAAAGGGTCTTGTAGAAACACCTTCAATGTAATCTGATGTAACACTCCGTTAAGCGATACTTGAGAATATTTGAATATTGCATTTTATTCAAAATGCTAAGAGTCCCTAAGCTCTTGAACTAGCAGATTCTGCTGCCTTTTATTTCAGGATATATTGGTTTCAATCGTTGTGTCATAAAAATTAAACTTCAAATGACTTAAGCAATAATTAGTATTTTATCTCTTATTATGTGCATACATTTTTGCTTTTTGGTAAACAAATTCATTTGTCTAAGACAAAACTATATGTTGAAAATTGTGGATGATTCTTCTGATTAAAAAAAAAAGTTCTTGGACATTTTATGTCAATGTTTAAAATGCCACTTACACTAAAGACTGCAAGTTCAGCAAGTTTGCTAGAAGTTTCCTTTAAAAGATTGAGGCTCCCCAATTTTGATGCAAATCTAATGTGTGTGAAGCACCCACCTGGGCTGCTTTGCATAGCCCCATGGGTCTTGGGAGCATTGGGAACTAATGCACACATAAAGCTTATGCTGCTTGCTTTGCCATGGTAATAAAGTTCCTTGGTCCCTACCCTGGAATATCTTGTCTTCTGTCAATATCCATAAAACTATGGTAGGCCAAAGGTAGTATATATGTATATGTGTATATAGTTCCCAATTTTTCAGTTTGTAAGCAGGGTATTATCTCAAAACTGTCACAGTTTCTAACATATACTATTCTTTTCAATAAGATTTTTGAAAAAAAATTTAAAACCATTTTATTATATATAAGAATACTCAGAATATATGTACTTAATAAATGTATCAGATTGCTGGGAAATGTGTTAAAATGCTGAATCTATGTCACAATATAGCAGATTTCTGATTCAAATTTTCTGAGGGTAAAAGTGTTCCATTTTAGCAACACCTTACATAATACTTAGACCTGTTGAAATTTGAAACCATTCATCTGAGGAAATTGATGGCTAGAATGCTTCTTAGGTTATAACATAAATTTAATTTTTTAAAATGAGTCAAGTGAATGATAGAATAGCTTTTCTTTTCTGAGAAACACTGCACGCTGATGGTTAAAATGTGCTTAATACACTTTGGAATATTATTTCTCCCAGTTTTGGAAATATTTTTTATTTCTTCATATTTTCTGAGGAATATCTTTTTCCCATTGTATTAACAATATTGATTATTCTGCAGCTGGCAGTAGAATGTGGTTCAGGTGTTTGTTATTAGGTTGATATGCAAATGAGTTATGTTTACAGAAGTACCCACTAGTGGTGATAGAATATACATATATGTGTGTATGTCTATTTGTCTATTCATCCATCCATATCTGCTTGATTTGAATAATACACATCAGAGAAATCACAAATACCTCATAGTTAAAATCTGAGTTATGAAGATATGGCTAAAATGTTTCCTGCAGCCCGGTTAGCTGCCTTAATACACACCATCCTTGCATCGTCCTTTATTTTCCTGATCTTTTCTTCCTTGCATCATCCTTTACTATTATTATTATATTATTATTATTATTATTGTTTTTAAACCTTTCTTTCTGAGCACATGAGGATGGATAGCTTTCTATTAGGGTTTTGGAATACATATTTTTGTTTGTTTATCATTTATTTCCTTTTTAAAATTTTATTTCACATTCAGGGGGTACATGTGCATGTTTGTTGTATGGACCAATTCCATAATGGTGGGGATAGGACTCCTAGTGTACCCATCACCCAAATAGTGAACATTGTACCCAATTGGTCATTTTTCAATCCCCCCTCCCCTCCCACTCAGTACATATTCGAAAAGAAGAATGACTCTCTCCCTTAGTTAACTCACCATAGGAAATGGCATCTATGTGATGAAAACATTACCAATAGCAAAATTTAACTGCAACATTGTGAATAAATGTTAATTTTTATATAAATGTTTCCATGAGAAAGGGTCTCTCAGAGAATAAGCTAGAATTGACAAAGTGGCTGATGGAAAGAAAGGGTGAGTAAAACTATTCTGTGGTATAAGGCTAGCCATTACATCAAGAGCAGGTAAATAATATTCATTTTCCTAAACCCTAAATAGCCTTACTGAATGAAAGAAAAATCAAAATACCTTTTCTGCAATGACTAATACCACATGTGCAAAGATGAAGGAATGTAGCATGAATAGGGGATTAACCATGGCAAGTGAATACCATGGTCATGAAAAGCCGAACTCCAAAAGCAGTCTTTACTTTTCCTTTGTAAATTATAACACAAAATAACAAATTTTAACACATAATAAATGGCAAGAATAAATATCTATGTTCCTGAAAAGTCCTCATTTTAATGAAGGAATGACCCTAGCTCTAAAGTAGCGTGATGCATTCCAAGCTTCATGTGACACAATCATGAGGGATAAATGTAATAACTTTGGCCAAATTTGCTGGATGTATTTGCACATTGGGAATAATGGAAAAAGCTTCTTATTGCAGGAAGACAGTTACCAGCTTAAGGATAGAAATGATTTACTGCCAGTTACTGCAGAGCAAGCTGAAGAAAAATTCAATAATATTCTTTATAATGCAGCATATTCAATCTTTCAGAATTTGACATAGTTGTACTTTATTAATGACAAAATTTAACATATCCATGGAAATTTTCTTTTGGTGACATATTAGATATCCTTATTTTTGTTATAGACATCATGTCCCTGCTCACTATGTTGACATTCTTCTATACAGTAACCATCAGCCTAGTATTTCCTGTGTGCCAGGTATTGTGCTAAGCACATTCCATACAGTAGCTCATTTGATTCTTTAATCTTTCTTTTCTAACAATAATTTTTTTTTGGCTTACACTTTTATATATGTGGAAATGGGCCTAAGGAAAGCCAGATGTTGGAGTGTGATGAGAGATGATATGGTTAGAAAATTGACCTGTAATATACCCAGACTCATTGTAGAAACTCAGAATTAGTCTGAAATGTTTTGCATCAATTGATGGTACCTGGTGAACAGGCAGGCATTTAGCCTGATCCTTCAAAATTGTGAATTAAGGGACCATTTTAAAACCCCTGTGATGATGGCAAAGCTGAGATTCTAATGAAGCTGATATTCTAGACCCTCATTTAGGGGACTTGGGGTCTGGGAAATCTGCAACTCTGGTAGAATACAGTGTTGTTTCTCACTTTAAACAATTGCCTCCTTGACAATTTGGCTTTCATGTCCTTGCCATTACAGATGCTTCATTTTTATTTTTTCAGATCTTTTCATCATTCACATAATCATTCTTTTTTGACAACCATACATCTTCATTTTACAGATGAGGAAAATAAAGATCAAAGATGTTAAAGAATTTAGCCAAAATTATATAACCTTTAAGTGACTAAGATAGGATACAAACCAAAAACTATCTGTCTCGGAGCACAAGTTCTTAACTATTATGCTTCACTACCTAAAATTATTTTTAGCTAGAGGCAGACCTTCCACAGATAAGGACTTCACCAACAGACCTCCTGGACAATTGTATAAAAAGAAAATAGAAAGTTGCTATTTAAACACATCTAACCACATAATTATATAGAAGTTAATTAGTAAGTAGAGAGTAAAAGGAAACATAAAATGGCTAGTCCTTCTAATTTTTGTTCCTTTTAAGTCTATTTCTTCACCAGCGATATTAGATAAGCAAGCACCAGTTGCTGGCCTCTTCTCATAGCAGTGTTTTATTTCATATACACGTTTTTCTTGCTCAGTGTTTTTGGTATAGCAAATTTTGCCAGAAGGGCAGCATTAGTTGATCAATAGGAGCAGATTCAGGTTGTTGGGGAAAAAAATTGTAGTCATGCTTCAGGTGCAGCCCAAAATCAATAAGAAAGAGTGCTTCTTAACAGAGTGAAATGAAGAACAATTACTTACTGCAGCTAAATGACATCCTGTGTGGGATCATTGTCTATACTGGAGGCTGATAGGCACCAAACTGAGGGGCTGCAGGATAAGCAGCTGACAGGGTTACAAATGGAGTATTCCAAATGATGATTTAACCTGAATTGTGAATTAAATCTCTAGTTATGTACACTGTCAGAGTCAGGAAAATGTTTCATTCTTAAGCTCTTGAGTAAATTCAAAAATAAGTATTAGCAGGACTTATAGTTTTAATTTACTGCAGAGTTTCTCAACATTAGCACTATTGACATATTGGACTGGATAAATCTTTGTTGTGAGGGCCTACCTTATGCAGAGCAGAATTTCTGACTTCCACCTCCTAAATACTAATAGTCCACCCCCCTCATTAATAACATTAAAAAATGTTCCCTAAGAGGCAACTTTGCCCTAGTTGAGAACCACTGATTTACCGTATTAATTATTTTTACTTGATTCATAACATGCTCATACATTATTTCTTTCTTGTTACGATTCTTGGATAGATGGAAATAAATGTTTATGTATATGCACCTCAAGGGCAAAAGTAAGTTTTGTCATGAATAGAATCTAATTTGAAAGTAAACCTCAAAATATTCAGGATCTCTTTCTACTTGTATTATTGTATTTGAGTAGATGTATTTGTTTCATTTGAATACTGCATGGCAGTTATTGGAGGTCTTGCTATTTTTTGAAAATGATTGCTACATGTAGGCAAGAAGAAGTTTGTGCAGAAACCACTTTCTATAAGGAACAGGCAGAAGATAACTGTACCTGACCTACCATTCTGGACATTCAAATCTTGTCTGAACTGTTAGTTAAGATTCTGTGAGTCCAGACCTCTATATAAAACAATTTCTGAAGGAAATCTTGTAATGCAGGATTTATACACAATTAAAATGATTTTTTGCCTGATTGAAATGACACTTGAAGTATACAGTCTTTCACAGCTCTATATTAATCACTCTAGCTACCCACATTTGGGATTTACTATTGCTCAAATTTGTATAATAAACTCAAGGAGATATGTCCTTTGATCGATGTGCATCATGTAGTCCGATTATGGAATGCTACCTCTTTTGTGTGTAGGAGTCAGATTTAACTATTATCCACTAGGGATAGGTCATATTGACTATCTATTTAGGTTGGTGCAAAAGTAATTGTGGTTTTTTCATTACTTTTCATGGCAAAAATGCAGTTACTTTTGCACCAACCTAATATCTATCTTTTATCTGTCTATCAATCAATCAATCTATCATCTCTGATGGGATTATTTACCTTAGGGAAACATTCATCTTACAGTATACTGCTTGTCTTAGGAACATATGACATGCATGTTATAATTCAAGAATTCTGAGCCCAACTGCAAAACTATTGAGTCACTTCTATGGTCCCATAAATATTTATTTCAACTGATCATAAGGTAATTTTTACTTATGAGAAAATTTTAGAACTAATTTCTTAGAGCTAAAGATAGCAAACTGAATGCTCCAGAATGACTAATCCCATACTGTATATCGTTGTATAGTCCACTTAAGCCTAAACTATATATGAAAGCCATGACTAACATACAGTTGGAGCCACTGATAAATTTCTCACTTTTATTGAGGAATTTGTAAATATTTGGAGTCAAGTGTGGCTATGAGAATAAATCCTTTTTAATGTACTCTTTTGTAACACAATCTCTGATTATATTTATTGTGTTCTTATATCCCTAGCACACATTTTTTCTATTTGAACATATTCAAATAGAAAGTTTTTATATAGCAACTTTAAATCAATTTAATAAAATAATCAGTATTTCTCTATAATATGCTATGCAAAAAAAATTGTTCCTAAGTATGTATTATCTAGAAATAGCTTCATTCTTTTTTAAATTCTTCTTGTCCAGCATTTATAAATTGCATCTATCTCCTTATGGTTCTGTGTGAATTATATCTGAGCTGTCTTCATTCAAGGGTTGTTTCCTTCCACTCCTGAGTAGATGGTGCTAATTATGATATGTTCTGAGTTAAAACAAGGTGTACTACTCTAAGGA
Source organism: Homo sapiens (assembly GCF_000001405.40). Classification (NCBI taxonomy): domain Eukaryota; kingdom Metazoa; phylum Chordata; class Mammalia; order Primates; family Hominidae; genus Homo; species Homo sapiens. Next base: position 91,583,531 of record NC_000004.12, read on the forward strand.
CACACGCAGATTTTCTATAGAGTTCCTTGACATTTGAAAATAAAAGTTTAAAGCATCTTGATTATTGGGATATGCAATAATTGACTTCTAAGCTTCTTGCTTGAATAGACTAGTGGAGTTTTGGTTTTTCATGATGTCTTGCCTTCTTCTTGTGCATTACACTAAGTAGTACAAATATTATGCATGTTTTTATATAAGAACTATACAAAGTTTTAAACAATTATTTTGATAGATCAGATGTCTCCTGTGAGATAGAAGAGATGGAAAAAGTGTCATATGCCCTCTGCTTTAAAGGATGGCTGCAACTTTATACAGCTCTTTAGATTTTAGGGATGAACTTGAAAAGGACATATTGTTGGCCAGATGAAGTGAGGACTAAGGAGGATTCTACAAAATGATGTTTTGAAACATTCTGGATACTAGAATGCTGTACAGCTTTGTTTGTTTCCTTACAAAATGTTCACAGCATGCTTTGTTAGCAATCTGCATTCTTTTAAAATTGTCTGAGATATTATATAGTAAATTAAAATTATTTTTAAAAAGTAGGTACTGGGAAAGCTGGTGACCTCTTTATTCATTTTTTGTTCAACAGATACAAGTTCAACAAATAACTACTAAATGCCAGAACCAGAGCTACCATGATCTGCTTTCACCTACGTAGTTGCATTTGAGGGTCTGGAGGCATAATTCTCTATCACTCATCCCCATGCCCAGTCAGTAGATTCTCAGTTTTCAGAGAAAAAATAAATTTCAAGAGAAAATATTTGAGGCTCTTTGGACTAGATGTATTAGATTGTCTATGAAGAGGCATGGTTTCTCAGACTCATTTGGATGGATACAGGAAAATCATTCTCACTGAGGTAGTATAAATTGTTTTTGGAGGCATTTATTTCATATTGGTGAGACCCTGAGCATAGGATCCAGTAAAAAACACCCTGATGCTGTGCAGTAGATCACTTTTATATCAATAGACTTTTCTAAATAAAAATATCCTAGGGAAAATTTAGAAACAGTATTAACCTCAAAATGTTTCATCATTTGTTCATATTTTAGGGAAATACTAGTAAAAGTTTTGTTTTACATAAATCCTGTGAAAAAAATTAAATACATTTTGATTGGTCCTAAAGTATGTTAATTATAAATTCAACATGTTAATATTTTTACTATATAAAATTAAAATTGATTTGAAGTCTATATATTTTTCTTCAGGTTTTATTTGTATTTTAACTATATAAACATTGTTATTAAAAATTATTGTTTTGCATTTTTTTCAGAGCCTTAAAAATTTTCTTCTTGCCTATTATGTGAGACATCTGAATTACTATAATATGGAACTTTAATTATAACCACTGTTTGTGACACATGTCTTCCTTCATTCTTAACAAGTGTATGCATTCTGAATTGCCTTTTATTATGTATTTTTACCTTGAACTGATTAATTCCCAATTATGTAACCTTTCTAAAATACTGCTTTGTCATGTCACTTACCTCATCATAAACCTTTAATTGACCTTCATTTGATTTAAAATTTCACTCTTTAAATTAGCAGCCAAAAACTTAAACAATGTAGACAACTTACATACACAAAATTTTCTTGATCCATTTATTTCTATGTAAACATCCTACTTCACCTTAGCAAGTAAGTTTAATACTAGTAGTTCTCAGAATAGGTCTCATAAATATATACTTACTCCTTATTCGTGATGCCCAGGATGCCTTTCTGACTTTTCAGTAATCCAAGATATAGTCACTCTGAAGGATTTAGTTGAGATAGCCCCATATATGATCCTTCTCTCTTTTCCCCATTTCACTCAATCCCTTCCTTTTTTCACTCATCTTCAACAAATGTTTGTCAAACACTTACTTTATATCAGAAACTAAGGTAAATGCTGGGAGAAAAATTTGACACAATTCTTGCTTTCACAGAGCACACTGTCTAAATTAGTGATAGGCATTAAACAAATAAATGCATTATATGTATGTATATACATACATATGTATAGGACAATTGCTATAAAGAGAATGTATAGGTTGTGTTTGCATTTGGAAGGTTTAAAATAGTATAATTTGAATTAAATTCTGGGTTGTGAAAAGGCTTAAAATTTTCTAGGGACTGAGTTACCTGTCAGGTAAAAATGAAGGGAAGAACATTCCAGATAGAGGCTAAAAGCGTAAAGGACCTAAAAGACCTAAGGAAGGAGAAAGTTTTTCATGTTTAAGAAACTCAAAGATGGCTAATGTTGCTAGAAACCCAATGATTAAAGAAAAAATTGTCCTAGGAAGGAATTAAAGAGGGAGCTAGATCATTCAGAGTGATGTAGGCCATTACAAGAATATTTATCTTCTTGAAATTCAGTAGGAAGGTATTGAAAGAAAATAAGAAGGTCAATGGCATGATTAAATTTGCATTAAAAAATTATCCCTCTTTTGTGGCATATGTGTGAAGGCACAAAATAGTGGATAAAGTAGTACAAGATAATGGTGTTGAACTAGAGGGATGGAGGTGGAGAGTAGTGGGCAGAATATAAATAGAATCGCTGTCAACTAGTGATAGAGTGTAGAGGTAGAAGGAGAATGCATCAACTACAACTTCAGAGTTTCTTTGTGGTCTCCACTCATTTATTTGTTCAACAAATGTTACTGAAGTATTAAGATGAAAACCAGACATGATGCAATTATTATGAGTTTAGTTAGAAAAAAATAAGATTGAGATACCAGTAAAAAAGTCATGGAGGTAGATACACGAATGAAAATTAAAAGAAGTTTAGATTAAAGCAAATAAGTTAAGAGTTGTTCACATGAAGTTGGTATGTTTAAAGTTATGTGAATGGATGAGATTTCCTTAGGAGAGTGAAATGAATCTGGACCATGCCATCAAGACCCAAGCGTTTAGTTGGAAAAGTGCCCAGCAAAGGATATTGAGTAGTTGTGACCAGAGAAACAGGAGAGGCACCAGGAGCGTGAAATGTCACAAATACCAACTGATAATGGAATTCAAAATGAAAGTGCTGAACTCCATTAAAATGCCTCTTAATGTGTAAAGAAAATGTATAAACTGACAAGTATCCATTTTACTTGACAACTTAGAGATTTTCAAGAGCAAAAGCCAAATTGCAGTGGGATGATGAACAAGGTAGGGGTGATGGTGAGAAACTGAAGCAACCAAAGAAGGCAATTCTTTTAAAAGCTCTGTTTCATGCTTAGAAATTATGTTGTACCACACATTTTTCACTAAATCTGGTCATGACTTAAGATACGATATTGTTGTTTTAGTGGCTTCATTTTGCTCTTTTGATTTTTATTTATAGTAGTCTAGTTCCTTAAGTAAAAGTAAGTTCTTGGGGGTAATATTGCATACTTAGTTTATTTGAATCACTCATTGTATTTATATTTTGTGGGTATTCCATAATAATGAATAGATATGAATGAATGAAATAATAAATAGTGAAGAAAGAACCACAGAGAATGAAAAATATTAATAAACTTAGCATGGGAGATGCAATCTCTTTTATTAGGACTAGTTTTAGATTTTGACACTCCTCAGATACCTCTTCTCTCACAGTTATTTGTGGGAAATTGCCCAGTATACTCAACATAACACACAATCTATAGAGTTGATTTCTTAGAGAATTCATTTGGTACCTATGTTAGTATCTGCCAATTTGTCTTGATGTTAGAGAGATAACTACCACCTCTGTGACCATCATTTGGATTCACCTTAGCCTTATAATTCCAACATCAGGACCTTTCAACATAGTCTCTGTTGAAAATACAGAAGACATCACCTGTGTAGACAGGGAAGACTTATTCCTTCTGCTTTTAGAAAACTTCAATCTGGGGAATCCAGATCTATCCTAAGCCAATATCTTATTACCATGTCTTTCCTTTTAACTGCAGCCTATTGTAGCACAGCATACCTAGCAAAGATCAGACATATATATGTTGACTTTATCATCAAATGCTTACTTCTTGATCTTCATTTCTCAGTAACACAGCACAAAATATCTTCCACATTCTACTCTAAGAATTTTTCTATTTATCCATCCTTTTTATTCCGTAAACGTAACAGATATAATTTCTGCATATCCATCGTTCATGAGATTTGCCGAAATATAACAAAATGGCTGGCATGTACAATTAAATATTCCAGCAAAAATCTTTTGGATGTTGTTTTTCTTACATCGAATGCAGATCTTGTGTCTATGCATGAAAATGAAAGGTGATAGGTTCTGTATGGAAATATTAAACACTGCTTTAGAAAATCTTGAATTGGTTGTTGCCTTTACCATTAACAATCTTTATAATCTAAGGCAAGTCACACAGTCTCTCTAGTCAGTTTCCTTATAAAATCAAGGTATTAAAATACATTAACTTTAAAGCCTCTCTTGAATCTTGAATTAATATTATATCAAAAAATAAAAATATTTATATTTTCAGTGAGCAAGAAGTTAAGATATTAATAAAATGAAAATAATTGACAATAAAATGAAAATAATTGACAATTATTTTAGATCTTTGCAATTGTAAGCTTCATCTGACTCTCATTATATTTTGTGCTTTGTTGATTTTTTTTCTATTTAAAAATCAATTTTAGATCTTTTTAAGGATGACTAACTTTGAAGCTGGTGGCCCATCTGTTTTCTCTTTGTTAGCAGACTTTTTGCGACTACTCTGAGTTTGCAAAGAAAATGATTTGCTTTGATAAAGCAGCTTTTCAAAAAGAAAAAAAATAGCCTTAGATTTTTTTTTCACTCTATAGTAAGTGTTTCTAACACTCATAAACTCATCCTAAGTAGGAAAAAAGTGGTTGGCTATTTGAAAAATTGCTATTATTAAATAAGCCTCTTATCTCTAAGGCTCAACTCTTTATACAGCAAAAGAATGTATTTTTGAAATTCTATGCTTCTTTAAAAATTGGTTCTAACTTGTATGTAATGATATTCTGACCATAACTTTTTGTACTATAATTAATTCCCTGCTGTGTCTTATTCCTTATTTATACTATGTGAAAGAATTTCAAAAAATTAGGTGGATATTACTTCAATTCCCAGCTATTCTGTATGTTTATATTTCTATATATGTTAGCAGTATTCTTTTCTATATATGTTAGCAGTATTCTTTTGATGTTTTAAATTCTTTGAAGGACGTTCAAGTAGTATTATGTTCACCAAACCATCGTGCAGAAAATGTAGGTTCTTATTATTTGTCACATCATTGCCTTGTGTATGTCCCCTGAATTTCCTTAAATGACATTTGTTCAACCCAGAATTGTGCATGTTGCTGAAGGAAAACATAACTTATGTCAATTATTAAATCAATTATTAGTAAGAGCCTCAGCTTTCCATGTATAAAAATGCCTTTGAAGTAAGGCATCCAAAACTAATCTATCTTAATGTACATTTACAAGAATAAATTGGGATAGTTTGTATGAAAGCCATTTATAATATTTTACAGTATATGACAGATGGAATTCTGAAATTACTTGTATTGTTTGTACTATCCTCCAAAATTTGCTATGTATTTAGTAATATATTGACTTTATCAGTGGGTCAAGCTTATTCCTAAAAGTAGTTTGCATTACATTATACTGATATAAAACAACACATTGATATTATGAAATTACTGTATTTTTATTTCACTTCCTTGCTCATATTATCTCTTAGATTAGGTAAATACGTTACTTTTAGAAGTTTCCAAGGAGAGCATACAGAGTAAAATTACTTGTAAGATAGAATCATTTAAGCAAGAAATTTAGGGCTCACATTATTTAATCATGCTAATAAGGACTAAAAAAGGATGAAAAATAAGTTTGATTCTTAATTTAATGATATACAATATATTTGTTTATGCATTTATTGGACTCCAGAATTTCTACCACATAAAGCCACAGCGATTGGCTATAAAGTCTATGAATTATTCACACGAGACATTATGTGAATCTAAAGATTTTTTTAAGATTATTAAATACTATTCTCATTCAAGAAGCATTTTATTACATAATATGTGCTAGGTGTTGGGCAGCAGGGTGTCTAGACAAGAGGCTCTTTTTTTTTTTTTTATGTTTTGCTATACTAAGCCACTACAATTGTTCACTTTTCTGCATTCCTATGCAAATACAGAAAATTATTCTCCACTCCTTTCCCTCTAGCATATAAATTTAACTTAAATCTTTAACTCATTCTTTTATTTAGAAATCACATATTTCTGGAATACCAGTTGTGCAGAATTATATTTTCATAGATGTCTTCTGAATTGAGTCCTTAATCACACTCCTGTTATTGCTTTTATAAGCAATAATTGTCTGAAATTCTCATTTAAATCACCTTTTAACTAAGGAGAATTACTGACACAGAGTGGGTGATCACACATATACACACACACACACTCTCTCACACATACATTAGTGTTAAAGACAACTTACTGTTCTACAAGATTTGGTTCTGCCTAGAGTTCATTTACTCTAATTATAAACAGAACAGTCAAAACATATGCCTAGTGGCTTCTGGGAAAACTGTTGTATGTTTTCACTTGTCCTTTGAAGAGAGAGAGGTGCTGTGATTTTACTCTCTTGGGAGCTCTGCTGGCCTTATTAGCATTCACCTTGCTTATCTCATGCATGTCTTCTAACCCTGTTTGTGTCCTAAATGCCCACCAGTAGAATTTAGTATACCCTAAAGAATTTAGAAGCGAGGTTGAACCAGAAGAAGTAGTTTAACTCTGGACAATGTGCACCATTCCACACCTCTTGGTAATTTGTGCAATCTGAAAAAAAATCAGGTCCTGTCTGCCAGAACCTTTTGATGTTTCTTTTCGGTTATTACATCAACTTATTACAGGGCTTCCTGCTTGCAAAGCAGTAACTACTTCTTTACACAGTCTCTCTGTAGTAGAGTGTTTCCTAGACCTTTAACAGAACTCTTTATCACTGAAAACAGATTCCACGTCTAAGGCTACAAACAGACACAGCAATGGTGCCAAAACCTTTTGAAGAGAACTTCTATTTCTCAGTGATGACAGGAAAAGGGCAGCCTGTTATTTTTAAATTTGGTTTGAGTCTACATTGGCCCTTTAATGATTGTACTTGAGAAAGACGCACATTTTAGGAGTGCCTGTTTACTTTACATCAACACATTGTGTCGTGATATATCAAAAGGAGCATTTACTTTTTAAGTAGTTTTTAAATGCTTTCATTGTGTATTACTACGTTGGATTGATTTAGTAAAGGAGATGATATTTTTTAAAATTAATAATTATAAGGGCCCAGAAGAATGCCTGGTATATAATAAGGATTATATGTGTTTGCAAACTAAGTAACATAAAAATTAATTATAAAGGCTTAATTTCACTCTCATAATGGCTATAAATGATAAAAGGATAGAAATGTATGTATAATGGTTTTCTTTCTTGATATGTATATCACTGATCATTTTTATCTGTTTAATTTAAGGAAGCATTGTAGTTTAGGGCAGTGGTTCTCAACTGGGGGCAATTTTGCTGCCATCCCCCACCCCTTGGGGACATTTGGCAATGTATGGAGACATTTTTAGTTGTCACAACTGGGTGACAGAGAGGTACCCTGGCTTCTGTAGGTACAGGACAAGGATGCTACTAACATCCTGCAATGTACATGATGGTCCCAAAAACAAGGCAATAAGTAATACATACTTAAACATACAGTACATAAAATGAAAATGCTTATTTACATTTAAGATTTATTTATAAATTTCAATATTTTATTCAGTGAGTAATAATATTCATACGTGCTTTTATTCAAAGCACTTTTCTTACATGTAATTATATTTACCAGTATAGGGACAATGGCTTCTTGATATCACAGCATTGCATGTTTCTATGTTGATGTATTTGTAATTAATTAAATTAATATATGTATTATAGAGTGTATTCTGTCATTTGTTTTGTTTATAATGCCTCAGCTTATACATTCATCATTTATTTTCTGAAATAATAAAGTGATCTACTCAATCAGTCTCCAAGCAACTAGACCAGTGTCAAATGGGTCAGTCAGTTGCTGAGTTTTTATTCTAAGGAATATCTTGCTACTACTACTAAATTACCAAAATTTTTTATTTTTATAAATTAGATAATATTATGACCACTGTCATTTGTATTTCAGAAGTTAAAATATTTACATAAATAGAAGATAAAGGAGTTGAGTGAAACATATTTTAATGCGAGTATTTTTATAGCTCTGGATTTTACCCAAAGATGTATGTACCCACCATTTATGTTTACACAATGGGGCCGGGCAGCAGTTAAAAATTGCAGCCATACAATATCTCCCTTTCAATTCATTTTCTACAGTATTGACAAAATACACTGAAATTGATTTTTTTTCATTTGCTTTGATATCTAATGCTGTAGATATAATGTCATATTGCTTTGGTGGTTTTGAAAGATCTGTTAAATAAGCCATTTTAATAAGGAAAGTCCAGTAGATTATTTTCCAGACTGTATAAATATTAATGGAGTTCTCAGTAAATGCCAGGTACTGGTAGGACATGTGTATTCAGCATTGAACAAGACAGGCAGAGTCCCTACCCTTATGCAACTTACATTCTATTTGACCTGGTGTGTTAGTCCACTCTCACATTGCTAATGAAGACATACTTGACTTAGAAAACTTACTTACAATCACGGTGGAAGGGGAAGCAAATACGTCCTTCTTCATATGATGGCAGGAAGAATTGCTGAGCAAAGGGGAGAAACCTCTTATAAAACTATCTGATCTCGTGAGAACTCATTCACTGCCATGAGAATAGCAGCATGGGGGTAACTGCCAGAGTCTCTCCCATGACATGTGGGGATTACGGGAACTACAACTCAAGATGAGATTTGGCTGGGGACACAGACAAACCATATCACCTGGGTACTGTAATGGGCAGAGGTAAATGTGTCTATTCTTGGAAATAAAATATATGGTATTCTCATTGTGTATCTTAACCTGCAGGTCTCATTAATAGGAAACCATGAACTTATTCAGAAGACACATTTCTCAGTGTGAATTATCCATACAAAAGTTACTACTTAGCTTCTACTACAAGAACTGTAACCAAGAATAATTCTGATTCACTTTAACATAATTTAATATTTATCTACTCTTTCAATTGAATTCACATTATAATGTTGATATTTTCATTAATCTTTCAAATATTTTTAAATTCTGTTTAACATTAGTTATTTTTCTAAGTATAATACCAGTTTTCCTAGATGGCTATTGGGGGATTGTTTCAAGTTTCTCTATTCCTTTAAGAACAATTCTTGTTGTAAAGCAATATTTTTTTTTTGTTAAGTGGAGAACATTTGCAGGAAAAATATATTTTAAAGTCAATGAAAATAATCATGTGCAGAGTTCTTATGTATGCAAGCAATTATAACAGAATAATTTTGCCTGATAACATTCATGGCAACTACCAATAATTTTTACAAAACAAGGAAAAGAACTTCAGAAAAAATAAAACATTATTAAACGTTCATTAATCAGTGATTGAAGTATTTCTCCCCTCCCCCATAAATTCTATCATCACATCATCCAGCCTTAACAAATTTTGGCTTTGCACATTGGCATGATTATTGTATTTCTGTTTTTCACCAAGAGACAAGTTTTTAATATAATAGAATCCCTAAATATCAGGTTTCATTTTACAATCAATGCTTTTAACCAGGTTGCAGTTGTAATGCAGTTTAAATTGCCCGTGCAATGTGTATTGTATCATAGCTTCATATTTGCCTTTCTTTAATTGAGTTATATGCAATGTTGGTGCTACATTTGTTACTAAAGAATGTTTTCTAACAGCTTACTGTACTTGATGTTATAAGAAAAATAATTTTGTATACAGAAAGCCAAGGAAAAAAACAGGGTATAATTTTAATATTAATGAAATAAATATTTTTAACTGTCTTGTTTTCAACCCCGTGCTTTTTTTTTTTTTTTTTTTTTTTTTTAGTACAGACAGGGTTTCACCATGTTGGCCAGGATGGTCTTGATCTCTTGACCTCGTGATCCGCCCACCTCGGCCTCCCAAAGTGCTGGGATTACAGGCGTGAGCCACAGCGCCCAGCCCCCATGCTTTTTTCTTAAGTAAAAACCCAATGCTTTATAAAATCTAGAGAGGGAATATACCTATGTGTGGATGACACTGAATCATTGAGAAAAATGCAAAAGGACTGTCTGTCAAATGCCAAACAAGGCAACTGAACACAAAATAAATTGCAATGAGAGGCTGGTGTGACTTACTAATGGATCACACAGGCTGAAATAAGTGAATGTGGTTTATTTGTTTTAAATCAGCATCAGGTGTTTTGTTTTTCATTTCTTAGTGGTGTATTAAATAATAATATGTTTTAAAATTAGTATTTTCTTGCATTTGATGAAATACAGGCTATATGCTATTGTAAAGAAATGAGAGGAAGACAATTAAAAGGTAACAATGAACTTATTATAATGTGCACAGTCGACTGATTAATCACTAGATTTTCCATCCTTTCATCCTCATTAGGAATTCTATGGATAGGTAATAAGCTAGCTGCATGACAACTAAATTGCGCAGAATCTGACATAATTACATGAGTTTCAGGAGGCTTAATTCTGATTTTGAGAAAGATGTGGCTAGACACATGCATTAAAATTACCTTCAGGGATCTCAAATTCTTCAGAGGTAATAAACATTGGTTAACATCATAATATGGAAATTATTTTCCTCTGGGCCAAGGCAACCAAATCCATATATATATATATGTGTGTATATATGTATATGTATATGTGTATATATACATATATGTACACACATATATATACATATATATACACATATATATACACATATATATACACACATATATACATATATACACATATATACACATATATATACATATATACATATACACACATATATACATATATATACACACATATATACATATATATACATATATATATACCCAAATCAGATCTATCTATATCTATCTATCTTAGATTCCCATCCTTCCGATCCAAATGCATATGCCAAAATGTATTTTAATATTTTGTGTTAAGAGGATGTTTCCTATGTACTTCTAAACATATTCCAAAACATGTAGCATAAAATAAACCTAGAATTTTAGAATTGGAAAGCAACTGAATGATTGTTAGAGTTTCTTCAAGATCTAAATTCTATTGTCTTACATTTTATTCATTTCATTCAGTGAGTGGACTTAGAAACTGAAGCCCAGAATAATTAATTTATTCATTCCATGTTACACAGTTCAATGGTAGCACAACTAGAGTCTTTTGGCTTCAGGTTCAGTGTTCTTTCTATTAGCTCAAATTGTCCTATAATATACTAAAGACACAATAGGGTAATTAGTGTAGTGTATGGTATGATATGCCTCCTACTTTTCCCTTTCTCTGCCTCAAACAAATACACTTTCAAGACTGAAGTCTTAATTTTTCCTGTTGCTGAGAGTGTTGGCAACTGATAGCTCTCAAGTAAATTTCTCTCCAATAATTTCTCTGCTTAAAAAAAAAAAGCAAAACCAAAAAAACCTACTCATCCAATACTATAGCCCTTCCCAGGGCCTGCCAATGTCCAATAACTGGATGATGGGATATAAGACTCCCACCGACTTGCCTGAATTGGAGACCACTATTAAGAACCATCCCAAATTCAGACCTCCCTATGTGATCAGTCGAGATAGTGTAATTGCACAGAATTTAATTTCTCACTCTGCCTGACTCTGCTTTCTTCATTCTCTATAGTTGTTGGCCTAAGAACACTCCCCAATACATTTCACAAACATCTGTCTCACAGTCTGTGTTCTGTGGAACCAAACTACAACAATAAATATAAAATTACTTGAATTTTCTAGAGAAAGTGACTTTCTTTTTAAAATAGAGATAAAAGTGTTCCAAGTGATTAGGTTCTAAAAGATGAAATAAATACCTCTCAAAGTAGTTTCAAGGTCTGTTAGTTACATTATATTGTTACTGTGATGATGATGATTATTGTTGTGATTAAGGTAACTACATTCCAGGTAATTAGGCATTTTATAATCAAGGAGGTCATTAAATATTTGTAATAATCCTTTATGAAGATATGGATATAAATATAAAACTTCATTTCTCAGATGAGGAAATTGGCAGCTTAGGAAGCTTAGGTAACTTGCCATGTTCACTAAACTAGAAAGTGTCTGACTTGAAGCTGACTTAAGGTAGCATTTGGGTCTTATATGAACAGCCCTATTTCACATGATGTATGCAGCACCTTGTCCTCAGTGTGGCCAATAAATATTTATCACAAGAATAAATGAATTCATATATATCTGACCCTACCCATATGATTAACCCCTGCACAATGCAATCTCCTATGTCCACTATGAGCTTTGGAGATAATAGTAAATATCACAGAGAACTTAAAAAAAAAAAAAAAAAAAAAAAACCAAGGGCAAAAAAACTAACATGTCAAAAACAAACTATGCTAAATAAACATAAATGGTTGATTTAAATGTGTATTTTCCTTTAAAAATTGAGAGTAAGAAGCCCCATCTTGCTTCTTTTGATAGTAGATCCACATGTGCCTTCTAAGTACCAGATACTGTACCAGAGAAGGGGTGCTGAGGCTGCCTGTGTGACTGAATTATTTGATCCTTTTCAATATGTCTTTTTAAAACTGTATATTCAATTTAATATAATATGCCAGGAGAATTAAAATGATCACATAAAGAAAACAATGAATATTCCCTCAAAGGTAATATTAAAATAGTGGAAATGAAGTCTACTCCTACCATTTCTACTTTCCTAGGCAGCATCTGTTGAAATAGAAATGAAAAAGAAATGTAACCACTGGTGTTATCATTATGGACTTATTAATGTTGCATTCATCCCCAATTTTTTCCACAATATTTCATAAGCAGCACCCATGATATGTCTAACATTTGGCCACAGATATTGAGCACAAGGTTGATTTGGGGGTTGGTTGGTAACAATTAAATAAACATATAAGTTTACAGGGATGGAGGAAAAAGAAAAGATCACATTTCTAATAGGTCCATAGCCTAGAGTATTGGGAAAGAGCCAAGAAGAAGAAAGTGAGCTAGACAAGTTCCCAAATGACGAAAATGGAATCAAAATAGTTTATTCCTTTTACTCCTAAAAAGTCTGAGGCATCTCTTGTGAGTCTTACAATGTTTCCTTTCTACACCAAATTACCAACCTACCTATGTCTACTCCAAATCTAAGGAAAAGTTAAAACAGCATATTAGAATTCACAGAGGGGGGTCTGCTGTAAGTAGCTTATCACAAAAATATAAATAAGTAAAGATGACATCACAAACATCAAGACAATAAAAAGGAAAGATGACATCACAGACATCAAGACAATAAAAAGGAAAGGCCTGAGTAGCAAAATCCTTCCCTCTGAAATCACTGAGTTTAAGGACGCCTAGTGGGTCTTTGTTTTGTAGAAAAGAAAAGGAGGGAGACTTATTTCAATAATAATCATTTTGAGGCATCAGCTCATATTACAATGTTTTTCTGCACGTAATTAATTTTAGAAAAATGTGATGAAGTTTTGAAAAATTCCTATGGAAATACTCGAGGAAGAAGGAACTGGTAGATAATCAAGCAGACGGCCTGTCCTACACTAGCTTAGGATAAAATCAAACTCTGTGCTACAATTTTCCAGTCTGTATAACGGGAATAAAAGAAACTACCTCAAAAGACTCTTGTGAAGAGTGAATATATGAGAGCAATAGCAGAGTGTTGGAAATACACACCCAATAAATATTATGTATTATCTCAAACTTTATTCAGCAAATATTTATTAAATGGTTAATATGTGCCAGGCAATTGTGTCAGGAAGAAAGAGTAGAAATGAAGAGAAATGGATGACTTGAGATTATATTTTGTAAATAGCAAGGACCTGATTTTAAGGTGTATGAAGAAAAGAGAAAAGAATAATTTTCAGGTGTTGGCCTGAATGTGGTGCCATTTACTGAGAAGGGAAATTCTTGGGGAAGAATGAGTTTCACAGTTGAGAATCAAGTTTTATTTTGTTTGGTTTGATATTATGCCAAATTAGTAATATTAATATAAGTAATATTAATCAAACAAAAAGTGATGATGGCTAAATAAGCAAATGAGCCTGCAGCTATCTATAGTGCTCTTCTCTCTTCTCCCTTGTCTGTTTCTCTTCATTTTTATCCTCTTTCTTTGTAGCAACAATAAATCCTTCATTTTTTGCATGCAGAACAATTAAGCCAGCCAGTCTCAGTTTTTACCTCAATGTGTTTTTCTACACAAACATAGTGCTCTCTTCAGGAGGAATATGGGTGCTAGCTTGTAATCTTTGCTTCTTCACAGCATGATTCAATGAGCTATGCCTTGTTATTACTAGAGTATACAATTCTTATGAGCAAGAAGATGGTATGTACTTGTGGACCTGATTTTGATTAATAAATTGCATCCAAAAGTCTAAATGAAACATGTATTGAAATTTCTAATAAGTGGTCTATTGGTCTTCTTAGATTCTTGTAGTTACTTGTGTGTTTTTAGTTCCTTTAATTTCTTGCTTACCACTTTGGTGATACAAATCATGATACTGATAATTCTATAAACTCTCTGGACATATATTTAAGTAACTATAGCATATTAAGCCAACAAAAGCTAATGGCCTCATATGTCTATATTCATCACTTATTAAAATAATCTGTATTTTCATACTCTGGTATCGCTTCAAATCATATAAATCACCTTTTACTTAATAAAATAATCTGTATTTTCTGTGAAGCTATATAATTCAAATTTAGTAAATTAGATGAACAAATATAAAAATGCCTTTTAGAGTAAATTAACCATTTAATCACTATCTGTAATAGTATTGCACCGGAAAATTTAATCCCATGGTTAATTGTATTGATAATTTTATAAACCTCATTGAAAATTTACGGGTTCAGACACAAATGTATAAATATCACTCTGTATTGTATGTATGCTATGAAAGTGTTTTTTTAAGACATCTTTTTCTTTCTGTGTCTTACCATAGGCTACATATCGAAATCGAATTGTGAGCCAAAATCTCAGCACAAGGGACAGAAAAGCAATACATACTCCCACCGAGGACCGTTTTAGGTATTCGGCAGCGGACCAGACAAGCCCCTACAAAAACAAGACCTGTCAACTCCCAAGTCTCTGTTTAAGTAATTTCCTGAAGGACAAGGAACTAGCAGAAGTTATCAAACATTCAAGAGGAACTTATGAAACCCTCACTTCAGACGTTACACAGAACTTACGGGCCACCGTTGGGCAGAGCTCTCTGAAGCCAACAGCTAAGACAGAAGGGCTCTCCACGTTCTTAGAGAAACCAAAGGACCAAGTTGCTACGGCCCGACAGCATTCGACCTTTACAGGCAGGTTTGGACAGCCACCCAGAGGGCCAATCTCTTTACACATGTACAGCAGGAAGAATGTGTTTCTCCACCACAATTTACACAGCACTGAGCTGCAAACTCTAGGCCAGCAGGATGGGTAATTAAATCACCGTATTCCTGTCTTTGGGTAGGATAAAGATGGTTAGTGTTTCTCGTGCATAGTTCATATTAAAATTGTCATGTACTTTTTCTTACATTTTAGTTATAAACAGAGTTGTGTTGTTGGGTTTTTTTTCTTAGTCATAAACAAAGACTTGTGGGTTTTTTTTTTCCAAGAGTGAAAGTTTGAGCATGTTAATTGAACTAGGTTGCATTGCCTTGAAGACTTTACTATATAGGTGTATAATAAATGGGACCATCATGATCGTTTATATAGTCCATAATTTATTTATTTTTTATCTCTATCACTTACTGATATGCATTAAGGTTTCAGAAGATAATATCAAATAGCAATCTGTTCACTGTTAATGGTGTTACTATAAAAGTAGACCTGATGAAAAATAGATAAAGGAATTATAAAGAATTTTAAATTATATAATTAATAGAAGGAGGAAAAAAGAGAAATGTTAACGTCTTATATTTGGTGGTATATTTATTTGAAGAATGTGGCTTGCTTGCATGTAACCTAGAGATGTGTTTGTCTCTATTACATACATTCAAGCTCATCTTGTGATACTAGTAAGGGGGAAATGGCTGTATTTTTTTTCCTTTAAACGTTTAGTTCATACTAGTTCACAAAGGATTTCAGACAGAGTAATTGCTAGCCAAATAGAGAATGACAGCTCTGATCTTTGAAAAATTTTGCTTTTAGTTTTTGTTATTGATGTTGAAGTACCGTGACATAACACAAGGTGATAAAGTTGGTTGAATTTTGTCAGATGATGCATAAATACTGACATGCTATATTCTTTGAGCCACTGTCATGGCAATATAAACATTTTTTCAAAATTTCAAGGATGAAACATCCTAAGAAAATTATTCTTTTTCTTTACTTTCCTTATTTTTTAAAATGTTCTTTTTTATGTAAATCCAATTTTGGTTTATATACATCAACCCATATCTATAATTTTATGAACTGAAGAACAGAAAGTCAGTATTTTAGTAGCCAGCATACAATATTCTGACTATGCAGAAATCTAGATTTGGAACAAAAGTAAAGTAAATGTGAACATTGGCAATTTAATCTTAGAAATAAGCTTCTAACAGGAATATTTAAAACCCATTTGATGGCAAATATTTCTCTTTGACAAATAAGGCCCAAATATGTTATAATATGTTATATACTTATGTGCACTTTAGATCAATATATGAATTGATCTATGGATAATTCCATCATGTTCAATTAGTAGCAGAGCAGAATCAAAGAGTACAATTGAATACATAAATAAATAATTTTTAAAAGACTAATAGGAATCAAGGCTGCAGTTTTCTTATACACATCAGAGCTGTTAAGTACATCCACATTAGCCATAGTCCATGCAAATTGAAACTGTCATACCTACTGCATGATCTGTTTCCCTTGCATTTTCTAACAGAATCTGTCAGCGTGCACAAGCAAGATGAACAAAGGGAAATTGAGATAGCAGTTTTAGCATGGCATCTGACAACTTGCTTAAATTAAAGCTGTGTGCAAAATGCATCTCCTATTATAAAAATGTATTTGTGCCCTGTGCTTTGGGGAAAAGCCATTAGACACTCCACCCCTGAGCTTTAACTACTGAACTTTGATACATTTGCAAACTTAGATTGGAACTGATAAAGTAAGGAGTCGAGTGGATATGTTGTACTTGTAATTTTGGTTTTCCAAAGGAACACACATGTGCATCAAGGCAGACATTTGCCAAATGTTTTCTTTCTTTGCGTGTTTGTAATTCTGCCAAAAGAGAACAATATACACTGCAAATTGCTTGACTTAATGAGATTGCCATCTAAAGTTCCCACCATACTTTGGAAGCTATAATGATCATGCAGATATACACTTTGGGCTGGGCAATATTTAAGAAATGATAGGAAAATAGAAAAATCATGATTATTAATTGTGGAATTCAGCTTGATTTGTCCTAAATGTTGGTGTCTGTTGCTAGAGTATTTTAAATCTGTACATAAATAAGCATGATAAAATAATCAAGGATTTTTTCCCAGGATATGGAAGAACTATGTATCACAAATAATGTTTTTGATTTGGACTTTTGGAGTTGATAGTTTTGTTTTCCTGGAAGATAGACTTTTGAATTATACTTTATAAAAATAATCTATTTATAGAAGATCTGTCATTTAATAGACATTTTAAGAGATGTTTTAAACGCTAGTATTTTCTTGAAAAATCTTTTTTAAAGCTGAATCATTCAAAAGAAAACCTGGATTAAACAGTTCGATTTTAAAAGGAAGGGTATTTTTTGGAAATATCATCTTAAAGCTGTTTTGTATCAGTATTTTCAACATTGTTATAATATTATTTGTAATACTAAGTGTAACTCAGGCCTGGAGAAGGTGTAAGCCCACTATGCTAATGTACATCAGTAACTGTAAAACAGGGGTTCTTTGTAAGTTCCTCTTGTGTATATATAGTAACTTATAACAATGGCATGTGGGCATTCTTTCAGTGAATTGCTTTCTTTGTACTAAAATCTCTAGTTTTCTAAGACAGTTCCATGTATAAAAATGATTTATGCATTTCTCCAAGGCGGTACATATCCAAAGACATGACACCAGGGGGAAAAAGTGCTTGTTTTTCTGATGGAAGCAGTGGTCTTTTCTTTTCTTTCCTCTTTCTTTTGTGCATGTGTATGTGTAGCTAAGCCTAAATAACCCTGTAAAATTTCTGCTGCAAATTGTCTCTTCTGAATTTAGAATGTGTTTTAAAGGAACACTTAGGAAGAGAAATACCTTGAAGAAAAGCTGTTTCCACCTGAAATAAACTGTTCCCATTTTTATAATTATTGGAACATGAAACTGTATTTCTATGAACTCAATGATTTTTTTCCATAAAATTATATGCTAAGAGAGTCACCACAAAACTATGAATTCTCTCCCGAATTATTTTTGCTTCTTTGGAGCACCATAGTCTTTGTTCAAATCACAACATGAAACTGTTGCTGCAATGCTAAAGATGTGAATCCACCACTATCAATACGGTCAGGGTAAAACCTGGAGCCACATGTTATTCAAGTTATTTTTGTTATCTAATGATTGACATGAAAATAAAATAGTAAGCCAATATTAATTTGTAGGCATAGTTGCCCCACTTAAAGTGTTTACAAAGATTTTCATGATTAATCTGGGTTTATGATTTAATCCTAACTCATTGTCATTATTTCCTGAATGTTGAACTCCCATTATAGGAAATTCCACATTTTGTTTTGTTTTCTTTGTCTTGTTTAATAGAGATAATAACCATACACCCCTCTCCAGAAAAAAGTTTTTAAAAATTATTATGATATATTTAAGATTCACATGCCCAGGATAAATGATTACATTCCACTAGCCCTCTCAAAAACTTTCTTGGCAACTTAGTTGTTGATTAAACAGTAGGAACAGTTTGCTGAATGGTTAGGATTATCTCTGCACATCATTCGTCATCATCAGCTTCTCATTATAAAGAAATAGTAACCCATAGCAGTGGATAATTTGGAATACTTAGCATAATCTCATAATTATAATCTAAATTTTTACTACTTTTTCACTTTCAGAACTTAACATTCTAAACAGCTATAGAAGGAAGTGGTTCAAAATAACCCTAAGATTCCATTGAAACATATACACACAGATGAAACTAGAAAAGAAAGGGCAATACATGTGAAGATGATATCTATGATTGCCATTCATGTTACTGAATCACATGCCCCATAATCAGAAGCTTTTCCCTTATTGATAATATTAGCTCAAATGTAGCACCCATTCATTTATACCAGGATTTTGATTGCTATCTAAGACTTGACTTTATTTAGGCATTATTATCAGATCCTGTTATGTATTTTCATATGCATATATATATTTTTGTATAAGAAGTATTTCAATCACATGTAATATTCTTGGGAAATTTACCTCTCCTAGAGTTTAAGCTTTTTAAAACATGTCTTGTTTCTTTCTCATGTGGTAAATTTATCATGACAACTCTAGGCTGTAGAAGGCGTAATATAAAATACAAACTAGTTTTGGTTCTTATAAAAGGCTGATTTCAGTTAAGACTGGTCATTTTTTTAAAAAGCTGAATTACACTGTAGTATAAAAGCAAACAGTCAACTAAGCAACCAAACAAAACAGCTCTCTTCTTTAATAATATTCATCATTGCCAAATGTTTATTTTTGAAATTTTGTTCTGTGCCAACTTGTTTCACCATGTTAAACTGCATACATACCCATGAACTATTTATTTACAATACATTTGATCTCGTTAAGACCCCAGTTCTATTTCCAAGGCATGCAGCCCAAAACCAAAAAGTTAAAAGATGATAACACTCTGTGGTTGAATTACCTATGGAAAAGAATGAAGGCAGTTCACTCTGTTTAAGATGTGGAGAATTTCCTACAAATAGTTAAGGTGAAATAAAATCATTAATAGAGAGTAGGTTCCTTCCATTTGAGTAAGTGATCTAGAATATGGGATACCACGGTTCTTTTTAGAGCATTTTCAGTGTAGCCTCATTAACTTCTCCAATTTAATACGACATACATACTTCTTCCACCTGAACATAAAATTCAAGAATAGGAGCATCCTACATCTTTCATTCTTTCCAAACATTACCTCTTTAGTAAATTCGGGTTGCTATAACAAAATACCATGGACTGGGTGACTAAACAACAGTCACTTGTGTCTCAAGTTCTGGAGGCTAGGAAGTCTAAGATTAGGGTGGGGCAGAATAAATTATTGGTGAGGATCTGCTTCCTGATTTGCATGTTGGAGAAAGGGCTCTGGCCTCTTCCTCTTCTAATAACTACAATAATTTCATCATGGGGGCCCCACCCTCATAATCTCATCTAAACCTAATTACTTCCCAAGCGCCCCAACTTCAAGCACCATCACACTGGGGGTTAGGGCTTCAACATATGAATTTGGGGGGGGATATAAAAATTTAGTTTATAGCACTCATTTTCAGGTCAAAGAGCCCACTTCCCTAATCACATACTTCAATAACTAGTTAGGTAATTATTGTTTTACTCTTTTGTAGATTAGATCAGAGACATTAGGTAACTTGTCCAGGACACACAACATGCATTTTTAATTAAATTGGATTTAATAACCCTTGAACTTTCCATTTATATCATGCTTATCTCCAGAATAGGATCTCTCCTAAGGAGGCAGAGTGATTTAAACAAACATGTGCTGCTTCAATCTCCTTTACTCCTAAACTTCCATTGATATTGCTAGGGACAAAAAATTAAGCAATGATCTATTTTAGGAAATCAAAATACTGTTCATTGAAAAGCAGTTTTAAAACAATTATTGACATTTAATAAATACAGAATTTTCAGAGGGCATCTCTTCTATTTCAAGGTTACCTCCCAGAAAAACTGACATTCTAATTTTCTTCTCTTGAAAGCAATTAGAAAAAATGCTAAGAAATGATTTTATATTTTTTAAAGTAGAGGGCCAATGAAGTGTCTAACAAAAGGAAAGCATACAGTAAATGAAAAATAAACTAGTTATCAGATTGTCTTATATCTTTCCTTCATAGGACATTGATACAGACATCATCAAATTCCTGTTTGTATTGCCTTATACATACTTAAAAAACAAGATATTTACAAAAATATTTTAGATATTCCTGTCTAGGAACTAAAATTACAGCTGATTTAGAATTTGCTTAATTATTCAGAAGGAATTGAAGTGAAATGAGGAATACAAATTTACTTGTCCTAAATTTTTAAATAAAATGTATTATATTTTGTAGTCAATTATATATACCAAAATAATGTCTGAATAAGACGTAATCCTGTCATGAGTTCTCTCTTCCAAAAAAGAATGCAAGAGAATTGATTATCTTAGTTAGACCCCATTTTTAAGGAAAAAATACACCCTGTATGATACATTCTTAGATATATGGGTTTGAGATTATTAACATTGATAATAGTTTTTTTAATTCATCATCTCTAAAACTCTAAAACTTTAGTGAGAAAGATAATAAATAGAAAATTACCCTGGAAATTAAAATTTTTAGCAATATTGAATACAGTAGTATAATTTTTTGTGGCTCTTGATTTCCTAAGAAAAATAGTGATTTTTATTTAATGAAAATTTCTCAATTTGGTTAATATTCTAAGAAAAGATTGATATATTTAAGCATGGTGATTAGAAAAATATGCATATTTCCTGCTCATAATAAATTTTAAAACAACAAATTAGTTGTGTGGTACCTGATTGCTTTCAATATGACATTAATTTGTTTTGAACTTGTCTTGATGATAGATTGAGTTACACATGCATTCATATTGGGCATAAAGCATTGTGATTTACTTCTAGGTTCTTGAGGGTTGTGACAATTGGAAAATGACAAATCAGCCACTTATTTCATCAGCTAGTTGACACAATTTATATTTCTACTTTCCTCACCATCAGGCTTTTTAAAATTTCTGATATATAGCAATACTATGCAATGGTCCCCAGGGACCATTAGAAGAATATACTGCTATATTTAATGTCAATAGATCTATAATATAGTATAAAAATGCTATACTATTTTTATCTTCATTTATTAAAACTCATTACAATTCAAAATTCAAAATATATTTCACACCATTTTGACTTTGTAGTTTAAGAAACCCTGTGACAGCACAAAAATGCAATTTTTTTTTCTAAGTTCCCTGTCTTTATCAACACGCACACACACCCTTGGAGTTTTAAAAACTGGTAGAAGATGGATGATTCAGTACAGTTACTGAAGCATTCGAAATGATACACGTATATGTTTCCATTTGGCATCCAAACTGGCCAACAGGGAAGAACATACAGTTAAAATGCTCCTGCAATGCCTCGAAAATACACTCCAACATCTTGTGTTTACAGGGCCTCACAGCTTCACAGTAAATAGTGTTCTTCTGCAGTGTACTTTCATATAATGCAATTTAAATAAGCTGAAACAAAGCATTATGGTATATTTTATAATTTATAATTAATGTGATGTTATAGTTTAAGAATCAAGCCATTTTCCTGATGATAGGAAGAATTATTTTTAATTCTAAACTTTATTTTCTATAAAGCATGTCAATAAGCAATGTATATGTTTTTTCTATTATATTACTGAAGGTGTTAAACTTTAGAGTTGTTTTGAAGACTTTATGAGAACTCAAACTCTATTTCTGGAATTTATTGGTTTATTTTAAAAACCCTTTGATTATAATTATAATCAATCAACACTTTTGTAGATTAATTATGTGGATATTTCTCTCTTAAATTTCAGTCATGAAACAGTAGTTTTAAAATGTTTAAAATGAAATATTGATGTATCTAGTACTTACTATTCATATATTCTTTCAAATATCCTCATTTTTTATCTTATTTTAAGTGACTCTTGCATATCTCATTCCCTTTTATGGTTCTTACTTCTCTAATATAGCAAATGCTTTGACATTTGTAGTGATATTATCAGTTGAACAGGTATCATAGCATTTTATGTACAGAAATGACACAAGTGAATATTACAGTTTAAGGGGGATTTAAAGTTCTAATCACTTTTCAGAAGATGTTTGTGAAAAGTGAGAACCAACTTTTAGATAGAAAGTTATTTGAGTTATTACTTTATCCAAGTGTAATGTTTGATTTAGTTTCATTTGTAGGCCTTTACCCAAAATTTAACAATAAGAAAGAATATTGCTTTATTTTAAAACACTACTTATATTACACTGGTAGTCATATGACCAAAATCTAAAAATATCAAAATAATAGGATGTTAAGAGGTGCTTCTGAATTCTGTGGATCCAACATTATATATTTTCCATTAAAGAAGAGCTGGAAAGAAAGGGAAATATACATGTAAACCCAGTCTTGAATTCTTCTGGTGAAGAATGAAATGTGACCATAACCTGTAAATTTGAGCTGCTATCATTTTTCAACTAAATGGCTGATTTTAAAGAGTCTATATTAGGTCAGATGCTGGCCAAAGTTTTATCTTCATACAAACAGACCAGATAGCTTAAGAGTGGACCTGACATCTTTAGACCGAAACAAATACCTCTTAGTCGATTTGATAAAGCTGTAGCACCATCTTACCAGCCATCATCACTGTTTTGTTTATAAGTTCTATCATGAGAATATTATATTGGTAAAGAGAACATGGCTGGGCCTGGGAAACATGGGGAAACCCCATCTCTATAAAGAAAAAAAAAATTAGCCAAGTGTGGTGGCATACACCTGTAGTCCCAACAACTTGGGAGGCTGAGGCAGGAGCATTGCCGGAGCCCAGGAAGTCCAGGTGGCAGTGAGCCGAGATGGCATGACTGCACTCCAGCCTGGGCAACAGAGAGAGATCTGATCTCAAAAAAATGAAAAAAGAAAATACGGCTCATTTGCAGAGGCTTTCATGTCTCCAAAAGCTGCAAATTTAGATATTTTAAGCCATATATTCAAGGGTTGTTGTTCATGTAGAAAGTAAAATGAAGAGTGGCATTTACAATCACCTAAGAATAGATGTTGTGTGGTGGGATTATCACATATGTTGTTGAAATTCAATTCCAAATTGTAATGTAAAAGTTGGAGAGCCAATTGAAAGTATTAGTAGAACACAGGAAGTTGATACAGGATATTTCCAGATCAACTGAGACAAATCAACATCTGATTATTCAGTGAGAATAATATCAACCCATGCTTTCAGACACAAGAGCTGAATGTGAAGGGTTTTGGAAGAATCTTTTCATAACGAAGCCCAGAAACTGATGAAGCCATTCACATAAACTCATTCATATGACAGGTAAGCTCATTACATAGCTCTAGGCAATCACGCTGTTGCATTTGAGGTAAAATTGGAGTTACTGTAAATATGCAATTTGGTTTCATCCTAAAGAGGCTTATACTAATCTTTCAAAGGATGTTGTACAAACACTTCTTAGAAAGGAACTGTCTACCTTATTGGAAATATGGATTCAAATATATATACTGTGAATCACCCAACTGTAGAAGGTGATTATACACTTTCCCAAGATATTTGATGAATTGTAAGGGACTTGGAAATGTGGTTAGGAAAGGAGGAATTTGTATCATTGTTCTTAAAAGCAATAACATAAATTGTAGAATTATGGTCTAGTCAAACACTGTGCCCTTAAAGCAGTCACATATGTCCATTTGTGGTAGCTCTAAAACATGTTGGAGAAATGAATCTGAAAATATTCTGTGAATAGAGCAGTTGAAGACAGCTTAATGTCTGAGTTCAAACTCCATCTGACAATTTCTTGTCGTGTGCCCTTGGAGCATTTTTTATCTCCATTTTTCCTTCTATGAAATGGGATAATAATGGGATACCTTATATGATTTTCATGAAGACTGAAAAATAGGGCCTATCACAGACTAAGAAGAATTTAGATGCTTCATCAATCACTTACCACTCAATCAATCATTTGCCTTTCCTAGTAAGTGGGAATTCTTTGAAGCATTTGGCTTTCTCCAAGTTTATCAACCCATGAGCACTGATGATGCTATCATAGAAAAAACTAAGAGAAATCCCTAGAAAAATATCAAAAATTCTATAATCTCTGAAATTTTCAAATTTTTCACGAGTGTTTTTTTAGTATTTCATGATTAAAACACTGTTTTGATAATGAATGGATTTGCACAAAGACTTCTGAAATTTCTGTATTCTTTTAAAAAATGAAAACTTATCTTTAGTATCAAGTTCTTTGGTTACCATATAATGTTTCACTAATGTTTATCTTGCTGAAGATAATGTTGCTTCCAAACATGGGGAGCCTACCACATGTTTAAAACAAAAATGTTTCAAGCTTTTACAGAGCTATTTATTTTTTACTATGTTTTGTTTCATACACACAGAAAAACATTTCCTGTTCTGAAACTGCTTCATTATCTATTAAAAACAAAACTCATGAGAATGCTTGCTGAAGTGTTAGTAACTTACTGACTTTAAAGAGTACCATAGTATATAACAATGACCAAAAGCCACTGTCTCTTAACAGTATGTTGTGCTTTAGCTGACTACTAGAAAGGTAAAATGTAATAGCAAAGATTTTGGCCATTGTATTTATTATATTGCATTTTAAAGAGTCAGGGTGTTCCAATTCTATTTCTCCAATAGTCCTTTAATGAAATAGCAGTCTTATAAATCACCTCTCATTAGGCTTTCTCTCTGTGTGCATGGAATCCTTAAAGCTTACATTAGTAATAATAAATTCTGAAATTTCCACTAAAAGTTCTGATGTTGGAAGTCTTCCTAATCTATACTTTGAGTAGGCAAAATGACAATTGAA
The DNA here is from genome assembly GCF_000001405.40 of Homo sapiens. Classification (NCBI taxonomy): domain Eukaryota; kingdom Metazoa; phylum Chordata; class Mammalia; order Primates; family Hominidae; genus Homo; species Homo sapiens. The sequence goes on from NC_000004.12 coordinate 91,609,367, forward strand.
CATAGGATTTAAAATTAATAGGGTTGCAGTCACTCAGAGGAATGATCTACACTATAAAAATCTATCCTTTTTTAAGAATTAAGGACAACTTTAGTATTCCTGAATAAAACCATTCTGTTAACTTTATTACATTACATGAATAATCAGCTTTGTTCATGCATTTATGCGACCCACGTTTATGCTGGTTACCTACCATCTGCCAAATAGTGTGATCTGCACTTAGGGTGCAAAACAGAACAATAATTAACCTATATTTAAGTGTTTTACATATATACACATGTATATATATGTATATAATCCACACACAGTGAATAGAAGCTTTGTCTAGTAGCTGAAATAAATTTTTATTAATTGTAATAATGCCTAACAATTACTGAGTGATGTTCTGTACAGGTAGGCACTATATTAGATACTTTACATAAGTTTTTTTAATCTAATCTCACAAGAAGGCTTTGGGTAAATATTCATATTATTATTCCTATTTTGCCTTTGGGAACAATAAAAATTAGGAAGTTGTCCCAAGTCACACAGCCAGTAGGAGGTACAGATGACTGTTATATCAAACTGTGCTATTCTATATTAACATAGAACAGAGCAAAATTATTTCTTCCAGAGTTATTAAGAAAGGTTTGTAAATAATCTGTGCAGACATTTTACACTTGAAACAGAATTTTGAGATGGAAAAATAGGACAATTATGAGTTATCCTAAGGTACTTTACCTACTAGCATAGAAACCTATGGACATTGAATATGGAATTTAGACTGATAGAGCAGTGAATTCCAGCTGTATACATTACTGGTTATATAAACTTGGCAAAATTGTTGATTTGTATATATCTTAACTTTTCTGACACGTAAAATTGTGGCTAATAATTTCTACCACAAAAATTTACTTTAAAGATTAATTTCGATAATATAGATGAAAGAACATCACAATAGCTTACAGGTCATTTATGATCCTTCTAATTCATTTTTTCCACTCTCTTTGTTCTACAAAATTAGCATGGGTTCTCAGGCAATTAGGAACGTATATGACTTTGGCAATTCTTATGAAGCAGCCTTAACCAAGCACTTTATTTCATTTATTTGGAATATCCCCCATTAGGTATAAATGTGCAAGAATTTTGTGGTATTCTCAAACTGACTCCTGGAAGCAATTAAGAAATTTGCTGAAGATAAGGTTCACAGGAGTGATAGCAGGGAGAGTGTTAGGGCTATAATTGCTGGGCCAATTCACTTATAATTAACTTAGTATTAAAAGGTTAGCTCTGTAGTCAGAATAATCTTATTGCAAGTTGTCCTAACTGTACAATAATTCTAGAAATTTTGAGAGAACTCAAGGTTACCAAGCACATCTCATAAGATTATTGCAAACTTGTTTTTAAAACTAGGGGTAGGAACAATATAAAAAGAGAAACTCATAGACCCATTTTCTTTCTTTCTTTCTCCCTCTCTCCCTCTCTCTCTCTTTTTTTTCTTTTTTGAGATGAAGTCTCACTCTGTCGCCCAGGCTGGAGTGCAGTGGCATGATCTCGGATCTCAGCTCACTGCAACCTCTGCCTCCCAGGTTCAAGTGATTCTCCTGTCTCAGCCTCCTGAGTAGCTGGAACTACAGATGTGCACCACCACACCCGGCTAATTTTTGTATTATTAGTAGAGACAGGGTTTCACCATATTGGCCAGGCTGGTCTCGAACTCCTGACCTTGTGATACACCCGCCTCAGCCTCCCAAAGTGCTGAGATTACAGGCAGGAGCCACTCCGCTCGGCCACCACAGACCCATTTTTTAATGAATATACAAAAATAATTCCAAAGAAAGTATTACACAACTGCACCAACATTAAACAGAATATATCATAATCATATAGGGCTCATACCAAGAGTTCATAGATGACTAACATAAAAAATAAATGTGATCCATAATAAAAACATTAAAGAAAAAACTCATAATTATTTCAATTGGTATCTTAAAAAGGCTTTGATAATGACTAGCCCATATTTATCACAAAAACCATAACTAATTTAGAATTGATTGAATTTGTAAGGGTTATATACTAAAGTCCTACTTTAAAATATGATGGACTGTCTGTTCTAGCTCCAACTTATAAAGATCTTGGAAATAATCATTCCCATCCTTACAACAAGGGAAAGCTAAACAATCTGAAAATCAATGACTTTTCTTGGGCCGAGAGCAAGACAACTAGGTTGCAAGTCAAACAACAACTCTGTAATATGGTAAGCCTCAGATCCGAAGAGTCATAGCCAAGATTCCCTTACCCAGAGAAGACACCACTGAAGATATAAACTGGTAGGATCACTTAGATAGTAATTTTAATGAACTGCTGGGGTTTGATACTGAACTAGAGTAAGAGTGAGAAACTCACCGGACCACAGTTTTGTGAGTATCCCACACTTTTGTGTATTTTTTATCCAGGAAACCCACAAGGCTCTTGTGACAAAGATCCAAGAATTACCTCCTCCTCTCTACGACTAGAAGAGAGGAATAATAACCATTGTAAAATATTCCCAGAGCATTCTACTTAACAAAAGCCTGCCCCTCCAGGGAAAAGACTTTACTGGAAACATCCCATCTGGGGGAAGGGCATTTCTCTCACTCCAGCTCATTCTGGCTTTTTTGTCTCACTAAAGAGGTGGAAGTTGAGACAAACTTGTGAAGGTCCTGATCCCGAAACAAAGGACGGAGATTTTATCGTAAGATTTTAGAAGGCTTCCTCACTCTTCCGATTTACTACTACACCAACAGGGCTCCAATAGAACAATGGCTTATGGCTGAAATTGCTGCAAGATTTAGAGTCTCTGAAGGGAAGTGCTTAAGAAAATAAAAGTTAATAAATGAGACAAAAAAGGAGACTAGAGGACTATTAAGCATCTACCTCCTATAGCTACAGAAAATGATAAACACAGGCCAACTCCTAGATAAGTTAACATAAAACCTCACACTATTTACCTTAATTTTTATTATCGGATACATCATGTTTGGCTTTCAGCAAAAAAAATTAAGCATACTTAAAGGCAAGAGAAAAACATAGTCTGAAGAGACAAAGAAGGTATCAGAATGAGACTCAGATATAACACATATTTTGGAATTATTGGACAACAAATTTAAAATAACTTATCAATATGTTAAAGTCTCTAGTCGAGTAAGTAGATAACCTTCAAGGACAGATGGATAATGTAAGCAGAGATATGGAAACTAAAAAAAAATAAAAATAAAAAGATTCAAAAGAAAATGCTAAAAATAAAACACATTGTAACAGAAATAGAGAATGTGTAGGGTGAGCTCATCAGTAGACTGGACATAGTCAAGGAGAGCATCAGTGAGCATGACAGCAAGTCAACAGGAACTTCCCAAGCTGAAATGCAAAGAGACAAAAAATAGAATAAATAGAAACTGAGTACAACACCCAAGAACTGTGGGAAAATTTCAAAAGATATGAGACATGTGTAATATGTTCAAGGAGGAAAAAGAGAAATGAAACAGGCGAGAATGATGGCAAACTAGGAGACATTAGCCTTCATCTTCCTAGAAAAAAAAAAAAATAGAAAGCTATCCGAGAACAGAATTAGCCCCGAGAAGGCTCAAAAGTCCAATTAAGAATCTTCAGCAACACAATGGAGCAAAAAATGGACAATGGCAGCATAAAAAGGATCACGGGGAAGATAAGCATACCTGAGATGTCTAGTGACACCTAGAAACAAAGAAGGGAAGGGGTTATCCATAGCAGCCACATGGCAGCTGCCACCACAGTCCTTAGTAACCTGTTGTGCAGAGGATCCCAGCAGTCATTGCCACTAAGGATCTCAACAACAGCTATGGAAGCCACAGACTCCCACAGCTTTCACAACAGAGCTCTACTTCAGTGGAGTGCTCTGCAGAGGATACTGGGAGCTTTAGGAACTGAGGTAACCAACAATCATCACCAGCATAGGCCCCCTAAAAATGAAGATGCTGCTGCACCACCCAACAGAAGTGAGCTGCTATTGCACCATCCAGGGACTAGGGCTACACTGCCCCTCCCAATGCACACTCTGAATTCTGAAGCCATGGTGGATCTGCACACACATACCCCAGACCCCAGCTCTGTATGGCACTCTATGAGTGCCTTTGCCTCAGACATCACAGCTACTGCCAGAGGGTACTAGCCTGCACTCTGATACCTGGAGCTCCTGTCTCTCTACATGTGCCCAAGCTCCAGACTCCAGTTCTGAGGTCACTCTGCACATGCCTGTGCCTCCAGTTCCTGACTCTGCAGCCACTGAGAGTCAGTCTGTGTCTAGGACACTGGAGCCATGGCTGCAGTGGGAACTTCTGTACTCTAGACCCTGGAGACATTGTACATATGCTTGTGCCCACAGTTTCAAACCCAGCTGCCTAGCTGTTCCACAAGCAACCCCACCTTGCACACCGTTACCAATGACACAGTGAGAGTGCCTGCATGTTAAGAATTAGTGTCACCACTGGCCTGAGCCCTAGAGCTGAAGTTCCTCCATGTGCATTCACACTCCAGACCCCAGTTCTGTGGCCACTCCACAGAGATCACATATCAGACACCAGTAACATCACCATTGCAAGTGTGTCTGAAAACCAGACTCAGCACCAAACGGGATCCCCTTAGCCACAACTTCCCTTGCAGAAGAAACAAAATACTCATGACACCAGCAGCTGTAGATGCTGCTGCAGATATTCATAGCCTTGGCCACTGAAGACATCTGCAAATTTTTATTGACACTGATGACGCTTAACAAAAAGTGCACTATTGTGCCATTACTGAAGCAAGAACTGGTGCATCCCATTCAGTCGGCACCCTCACTTTCACTCATAAGCAGGTGAAAATTGTCCATTAAATCTGGAGAAGGTTACTGTTACATCAAATGTGCAGACATCAATGTAAGCAACAACAACAACAAAAAAAAACATAAAAATCAAGGAACTATGACACCACCAAAGGAGGACAATAATTTTCTAGTAATTGACCCACAGAAATGAGTATCTGCAAATTGCTGGACAAAAAGTTCAAAATATTTTAAAATAAAGTACAGAGAGCTGCAGGAGAGTGCAGATAGACAACTCAACTGTATCAGGAAAACAATACATGGAAAAAATAAGGTCAACAAAAGAGATAAGAAAAGAAACAAATTCTGGAGCTAAAGAATCAATGAATTATATAAAATGCAATAGGAAACATCAACCATCAGAACAAAGAGTCTGTGAAGTTAAAGACAGACCACTTTAAATTAGTCAGAGAAAGAAAAAAAATGTAACAAACAAAAATAATAGAAAGGGAAAAGAATGTGAAAGAGTGAAGAAAGTCTATGGCATATATGGAACCTCATCATATGCCCCAGTATACAAATACTGGGAACAAGAAAAAAAGGAAGAGCAAAAAAAAAAAAAAAAAAAAATGGCAGAAAGCTTACTTAATGAAATAATGGCTGAAAATTGTCCAAATCTGAGAAGACATATGGACATCTAGATATATTAAAAACAAATATTTATAAACAAAGTAAAGCCAAATATATCTTCTCTGAGACACACTATAATCAAACTGTCAAAAATTAAAGACCAAAGATAGAATTTTTGAAGCATCAAGAAAAGAGATTTATCATATATAAAGGAAACTCCAGAATGCTTTCTGCCAATTTCTCAGCAGAAACCTTGCAGCTTGAAGCCTTCACCAGAAGCAGATCCTGAGGCCATGCTGTTTGTATAGCTTGTAGAATCATTAGCCAAATAAATCTCTTTTCTTTATAAATTACTCAGCCTCAGGTATTTCTTTAAAGCAAAATAAAATGGACTAAGATAGGCATAAATTTAACCAAAAAGGTAAAAGTTCTGTACACTGAAAATTGTTACTGTTAGTTTATACTGACTTAATCTTCTTACTGATTATTGATTCTGTGATATCAGTTGTAATGTTTCCTCTTTCATTCAGATTTTATTTATTTGAGTCTTTTGGCAAGACCTAGACTCCAATAAGTCACTTTCCCAAATGCCTCATATCTTGATACTATCATCTTGGGGTTTAAGTTCCAAAATATGGATTTTAGAGTGCCACATACATTCAAACTGTAGAGTATGTGGAATTTAACAAAAAGGTGAACTCATAAAAACAGGGAGTAGAATGATGGTTATCTAAAATTAATGATACTATACTTCAGATTCAGGAGGCTCACAGAACACCAAGTAGTACAAATTTATTTAAAATTGTATAGCTAGACATATAATATTCTTAATAAATTTGAAAGATAACTTTTTTAAAAGAAGCAATAGTAACATTGTAAATGGTGATGTTTGACATGGCATTTATTGGTGAAATATGTTGAATCATCAACCAGGATAGACAAGCTGTTAATTTTCAGTTTATTATCCAAATTTTCTTCAGCATCACATAATACGTCATGAGTATGTTGACTTATTATACTATTTGAGAAACAACTTTTCAACTTGTCATACTGCATCTCATTCAACATTTTAGTCAGTATAATTTTGTATGGTGACATTATTAGTCTCATACCAATGATATGCCTGTTTGTTATCTTGGTGATAAACTCTGCTACTAAATACCTTGTATTTTGTAGCTTTTTATTTAATTTGTGGGGTTTTTTTTCAAAAATAAGGACTTCACTGTGCTTGTTTAAATAGTAAAATAGCCCCTTAAGAAAACATGAACAGACCAATAATGAGTAATGAGATCAAAGCAGTAATTAACTTTCCTTTCAAAGAAAAGCTCAGAATCTGATGGCTTCACAGCTGAAATCTACCAAATATTTTAAAAAGAATGAATACTATTTCTATTCACACTATTATTAAAAAATTAAAGAAGAGGCACTATTTTTAAACTCATTCTATGAAGCTAGCATCACCCTGATACCAAAATCAGACATGGATAAAACAAAGAAAGAGAGCTACAGGCCAATGTCCCTGATGAACATAGATGCAAACATCCCAATAAAATGCTAGAAAACTGAATTCAACAACATATTGAATTGAACAACACATTCACCATAATCAAGTGGATTCATCCCAAGGATGCAAGAATGTTTCAACAAATGCAAATCAATAAATACAACATTTTACATTAACAGAATCAAGGACAAAAACCATATAATCATTTCAATAAATACTGAGAGAGCATTTGACAAAATTCAACATCCATTTGTGATAAAAAAAAAAAAAGTCTCAACAAACTGGGTACAGAAGGAAAAAACTCAAAAACAAAACAAAACAAATAAAGGCCATGAATGAGAAATCCACAGCTAAGATCATATGGGGAAAATTGGAAACCTTCTCTCTAAGATCTGGGACAAAACAAAGATGTTCACTTTTACTCAGCTTAGTACTGGAAGTCCTAACCAGATCAATCAGGAATAAGAAAAAAATAAAGGACATCCAGATTGGACAGGAAGAACTGAAACTATCCTTGTTAACAGATGGCATGATCTTATATTTAGAAAAACCTAAAGATTCCACCAACAAAAAAAAACTCTATTATAACTGATAGACAAATTCAGTAAAGTTGCAGGATACAAAATCAACATAACAGAATCAGCAGCATTTACGTATGCCAACAGCTAACAATCTGAAAAAGTATTCAAGAAAGTAATCCAGTTTGTAATAGCTACAGAAAAAATACCTAGAAATAAATTTAACAAAAGAAGTGAAAAATCCTTACAAGGAATATTCAAAACACTGATGAAAGAAAGTAAGGAGGACACACCAAAATGCAATGATATCCACACTTATGAATTGGGAGCATTAATAGTTAAAATGACAGTAATACTCAAAGTTACTTACAAATTCAATGCAAATCCTATCAAAACACTAATGATTCTTCACTGAAATAAAAAATCAATCATAAAATTCATATGGAACCACAAAAGACCCAGAATAACCAAAGCAATCTTCAGCAAAAAGAACAAAGCTGAAGGCATCATGCTACCTTCAAAATATGCTACAAAGCCGTTGTAATTCAGGCAGCATGGTGCTGGAATAAAAACAGACATGTGGACCAATGGAACAGAATAGAGAACCTAGAGATAAATTCACACATTTTCAGCCAACTTGTTTTTGACAAAGGCACCAAAAACCTACATTGTAGAAAAGACAGTCCCTACGATAAACGGTGCTGGGAAAACTGGATAAATGTATGTAGATGTATATGAAGCTAGACCCTATGTCTCATCATATAAAAATCTAATCAAAATTTATTAAAGCCTTAATATAAGCCTTGAAATTATGAAACTACCAGAATAAAACATTTAGGAAACACTAGGGCATTGGTCTGGGCAAAGATTTTTGGGTGAGACCTCAAAAGCACAGGCAACAAAAACAAAAATACACAAATGGGATTACATCAAGCTAATGTATTGCCAAGGATATAATCAACAAAGTGAAGAGACAACTCAGAGTGGGAGAAAATATTTGCAAACTATCGTCTGACAATGGTTTAATAACCAGAATATTTAAGAAAACAACTCAACCGCAGAAAAATAAATAATCCAATTAAAAATGAACAAAAGATCTGAACATTCATTTCTCAAAAGAGGACATACAAATAGCTAAAAGTTATGTGAACAAATGCTCTATATCACTAATCACCAGGGAAATGCAAATCAAAACCACACTGACATATTATCTTACCTTTTTTAGAATAGCTAATATTAAAAAGATGAAAAACTAACTGATGCTGGTGAGGATGTGGAGAAAATAGAACTCTTGTACACTGTTGGTGGGAATGTAAGTTAGTACATTAGTACATAGTGACTCTCATGGAAAACAGTATGGAGATTTCTTACAAAACTAAAAATAGAAGTTTTATATGATCTAGCAATCCTGGTACTGGATATTTATCCAAAGGAAAAGAAATCAGTGCATCAAAAAGATACCTGCACCCACATGTTTATTGCATCACTATTGTGTTCATCAACAGATGAATGAACAAAGAAAATGTGCTGTATATACAACACTGAATATAACTTAGCCATAAAAAGAATAAAACTCTGTCATTTGCAGCAACATGAATGGAACTGGAGGTTATTACATTAACCGAAGTAAGCCTGGCACAGAAAGACACATACCACGTGTTCTTACTCATATGTGGAAGCTAAAAATGTGGATCTTTGCAGAAAGTTGATTGGTGGTTAACAGGCAGAGAAGCGTGGGAGAAAAGGGAGAAGAAGAGTGGTTGGTCAATAGATACAAAGATACAATTACATAGAAGAAATAAAGTCTATTGTTTGATAGTATAGTAAATGGGCAATTATAGTTAACATACCTCCCCTCCAGCAAAAACATAATTTGTTGCATAGTCAAAATGCTGGAGGCGGGGTATTGGAATGTTCGCAACATAAAGGTGTGAATGTTTGGTGAGATGAATGTTTCAATTGCCCTGGTTTGATCATTACACATTGCATGCATATATCAAAATACCAATGTGTCCCAGAAATATGTACAACTATTATGCATCAATTCTAAAAAAGAAATAAGCACTTTTAATTGTCAAATGCCTGTGACTTGTGGTTGAGTGTGATTTCTACTCTTCTAGAGTCATGTTGCATTTGTATGTTGTTTCTCACATACAGCACATAATGGAATAGTATAATTTGGATTATCATCCCTTCTCATGCAATATCCACTCATAGGTTGCTTTCACTATGAACATGTTATTTTTAGTGTATGTCCCTTGTATCACTAGTGCAGTGAAATGACTCAGAAGATTTTAATTCTTCATAATTAATTTTCTAAATAAGAACTTTATTGGGATATAATTCACATACCATAAAATTCAACACTTTAAAGTATACACGTCAGTGATTTTTAGTATATTCAAGCAGTTGTTCAATTATTCATTATTAAATTTATCATATTTGTCCTTAGGGCAAAAATGAAATTTTTTTTTCATATGACAACATATATGTAAAAGTTACCTAATTGGACCATCAGACATATTTTAAAATACATGTTCTAATAAAATATAAAAAAGAATACTGTAAAAAACCAAAAATTAATATTAACATATAGTATTAATTTAATATTAAAATATAAAATCTTGACATAATAATTTACTTCTGACATCCACAAACTAAGTTTTGGAACATTGAGGACAGTAAAGTAGATGGGGGAAGATAATAAGCAGCACATACAACTTGCTACTTTAAAATGAGTATTTCCCATGACTTTTCACATACACTGAGACAACCTGTTTGTTTGCATAAGAGGAGATTAGGAAAGTAATTTATGAAAGAAAAACTGAGGCTACCAGCCTACCATACTCCCTTAGTGCATTACAGTGCTCACCTCTACATTATATCTATAATTACATCCATATTTCATTAAAATCTGAGAATAAACTCAATCAACTGACTGCTTTCTACTTTACACTGTCCTGGAGGACTGAAAAATCTCTAAAACACTGCTAATGTGGTTTCTCAGTAACCTCATCACTGTAAGTGCCAGTATCACACAACACGTGATGTTAAAAAAAAACTATATATTTTTGCAATTGCCACCTCTTGATGAACGATTACTGCCATCTCACTGAACTTTAGGGTTCCATGTAACCACAGTTGTGTGGCAAGCACTAGAGATGTAGCAATAAATTTGGTGTTCTTTGCCTAGATCTCTTTACATGTATAAAGGGTATTCTTTGCAGGCTTCTGTTTCTGATTGATTTTCTACACTCACTCTCTCCTTCCTCTGTCTCTATCAACTTCTTTGACTTTTTTTTCCTCCATCCTTAAGCATTATCTTAAAAGTCTAAAATGATTACTTAAACAGTTAAGATGACTAACCAATGCTGGACTTGGTATAACCATTAAAATTCTTGATGATTAGTTACATTGATGGTATTGTAAATGTAACAATATTCACTGGAAATGGGATAATTTGTAAAGCATGATGACAGTTCTTTCATCAGATATCATATTAGAATGTGTTTATGGTCAATCAGTACCTGAAAATGATTAGGTTGAGAGGCTTTAAATATTGGAAATTTATATTTTCTCTTGGCAAATTTTATGAAATGTCTACTTAGTGGTCTGCACTATTTTAAGCCCTTGAATGTATAGTAATGACTAGAAGACTACTCTTGAGTTCCCTTCTCTCAAGGATATTTCATTCCAACAATGCAGGAAAATCCACATAGTATTTTCTTTTCTTGAGAAATGTCCCTTCTTAGGTCCTGAATCGAGGTGTTCATGTTTTACTTTCTTCATTATAGCAGGCAAAGGGATGCATCCTCATTCCTTTTCTCTTTAGATATCACAGCAATTCTAGACCTTTTCATTAAATCTAACTGCAAAAAGGGATGCAATCGCTCTTCACTGGTCCTTTCCTTGTGACATTAATTTAAGTATTCAAGAGTCACTAAGTTTTGGAATTTTGATAGTATTCGGTATGGAAGAGAAGACAGTACACTTGATTTGTCGGTAAGATAACACTGGCTGCTTTAACAAATAAACTCCAAGACCTCTATTCCTTCAAGTAAGGAATAGAAGAGTAGCCCCTGAGGATGGATGCCTTTCTTCCAAGGGCTGAATCAGAGACCCAAACTCTTTTCACATAGTGGCTTTACCATTTACAACATTTTGACTTCCAACATAAGTGTGTTTTTCTATACCAATCTGGCACAAAGGAAAACAATATGAAGCATCCTGTATAAGAGATTTTTTTTAGAAATCAGGTTTGTAAATGATGCACACAACTTCTGCTCATATTCCATCATCTAGGACTTAGTCTATGGCCATACCTACTAGGATGATTAATTTATGTGTCATCTGGAGTAGGACATGGCTGCTAGTTTAAACATCTCTGGATTTGTCTGTGAGAATGTTTCCAGGTGAGATTAGCATTTGAATCTATAAATTTAATAAAAGTAGATTGCCCTCCCCAATGTCGGTGGGCATCATTCAATCCACTGAAGGCCTGAATGAAAGGAAAGGTGAAGGAAGGAGGAATTTGTGCCTTTTTTCCTGCCTCACTGCTTGATCTGGGACATTCATCTCATCTTCCTTGGACTAGGGCTTACATCATCAATTTTTAGACTGACAGTGAATTATACCACTAGATTTCCTGGGTCTCCTGCTTGCAGACAGTAGATCTTGGGACTTCTCAGCCTCTGTAATCATGTAAGCCAATTCTTCATAATAAATATCCTTTTATTATATACATATCTCATTGGTTCTGTTTCTCTGAAGAACCCTGACTAATACATTTACTTTCAAGAGAGGCGAGATTCAGGAAATTTCTAAGACTATTCATAGTAGCAGACTGATGATTAATACTTACACATCTCTATAGCTATGAATCTTCTTAAATAATCTTTATGACATCAGTGATTTTGTCTGTTTATACCACTCAGCACATAAAGGTGCTCAGTAAATTAATGAATAAGCAAATTAAAAAAGAACAAATAGAAAATTGATTACCTTTTGATTCAAGTGAACAACTGACCTTTCTGCTAGTTGACATTCAATAGAACTATGAATCACACAAAGGTTAGATTTGTATTCTCCCACTTATTCTAAGAGAGAATAACATTTAAAGAAAGAAGTGAAAAATGAAATGAAAAATAAGCCTTAATTGTATATCTACCAGATACTCTTTTTTTTTTTTTTTTTTTTTTTACACAGAGTCTCACTCTTGTTGCCCAGTCTGGAGTGTAATGGTGCAATTTCGGCTCACTGCAACCTCTGCCTCCAAGGTTCCAGTGATTCTCCTGCCTCAGCCTCCCAAGTAGCTGGGATTACAGGCATGCACCGCCACACCCAGCTAATTTTGTATTTTTAGTAGAGACGGGTTTTCACCATGTTGGCCAGATTGGCTTCGAACCACTGACCTCAAGTGATCCACCCACCTCGGCCTCCCAAAGTGCTGAGATTACAGGTGTGAGCCACCGCACCCAGCATATATTCCTATTTCTTTAACTTCTTCCACATAAGTGTTAAAGGAGAAAGAGGGAATCTAACAAAATCATTACACAGAAATTGGAAACTTATTATGTTCCACGAGAATTAAAATATGATGAATATGATGCTGCCCATCAGCAAGGAGAAATTCCTATGATTGTTTGTTGCAGTGACTTTTTTCTTTTTTACCAAGATTAACCCTCTTTAAAAAAACACTGTGTTTGAAGACTTTTATAACCTCTGCTGTTTGCTGCAACCCCAAAACTGGAGAAACATCTTGGATCCAAATTCCCAGTCAGTGCATTGAAGTGAAACTTACAGTATTATATTCCTAACACTGTCAAGGTCAAGTTGCTAGCTGACCATGGACACAGCCCTTACTGCACCCAACAAACTAGAAGAAATGCTCTTATATCTAAAAGTTACATATTCTCTCAATTTCCAGTAATATGGTAGATGGTTTAGAAGGGCCAAACTGAAAAAGCTGTTATGACACAGAGGATATTTTTACATGTAAAAATTTAAAAGACATTAACTTTATAACCAAATAATGTGTGCAACACACATCACTGATTCCTCCTGTCATTCTGACTTTTATTACTAAGGTATGTGAAAATGCAGTAAGCATTAGGGATGAGGCAGAGAAGGAGGTAAAATTTAAGAAGGGGGATCAGGAGAGGGTGAAATCACAGATGATCTGCACATCACTTATGGGACCCACCACTACTACTGCCAAAGCCTGTGTGTGTCACCCGGTGGCAAAAGGAATGGCCTGCCTGAAGCCTATTGCTGCCATGGCTGATGAACCTGCCTGCTCCAGCAGCAGGGCCGTGGAATGCCAATGTGCTTCCCCTAGGTACCTGAGGACCAGTTTGCATGGCATGCCTGGACCCAGCAAAGCCACTTTATAGCCTAGAAAAACAACTACAGCCTATGCAGATACCATTGACATTGATTACATTGGAAGAAGTCATACAAAGACTATAATAGCACACTCACCAGAAACAAAGCCAAAGCACCCTGCCCTGCAGACACTATAAATGCATCTCCAGAAAAAAATATTTTTCCTAAGAAAGGAAAGAAGTGACTGTTAAACCAGAGGCACAGATATCAAAGTAGAAACACAGGACACGTGAAACAGCAAGGAAACATGACACCTCCAATGAAACACAATTCTTCACTAACAGACCTTAAAGAAAAGGAAACCTAAAAATAATCCTGAAAAGGAATTCAAAGTAAAGATTTTAAGAAAACTCAGTGAGACATAAGAGAACAGAGATACAAAATACAAATAAATCAGCAAAATTATTTATGATGTAAATCAGAAATTCAACAAAGAGACAGCTGTCAGGCCTCTGAGCCCAAGCCAAGCCATTGCATCCCCTGTGACCTGCATGTATACGCCCAGATGGCCTGAAGTATCTGAAGAATCACAAAAGAAGTGAATATGCCCTGCCCCACCTTAACTGATGACATTCCACCACAAAAGAAATGTAAATGGCGGTCCTTGCCTTAAGTGATGACATTACCTTGTGAAAGTCCTTTTCCTGGCTCATCCTGGCTCAAAAAGCACCCCCACTGAGCACCTTGTGACCCCCACTCCTGCCCGCCAGAGAATAAATCCCCTTTGACTGTAATTTTCCTTTACCTACCCAAATCCTATAAAACGGCCCCACCCTTATCTCCCTTCGCTGACTCTCTTTTCGGACTCAGCCCGCCTGCACCCAGGTAAAATAAACAGCTATGTTGCTCACACAAAGCCTGTTTGGTGGTCTCTTCACACGGACACCCATGAAATTTGGTGCCTTGACTCGGATCGGGGGACCTCCCTTGGGAGATCAATCCCCTGTACTCCTGTTCTGTGCTCCATGAGAAAGATCCACCTAGGACCTCAGGTCCTCAGACCCACCAGCCCAAGGAACATCTCACCAATTTTAAATCAGGTAAGCGGCCTCTTCTTACTCTCTTCCCCAACCTCTCTCACTGTCCCTCAACCACTTTCTCCTTTCCACTCTTCAATCTCTCCCTTCCCTTAATTTCAATTCCTTTCATTTTCTGGGAGAGACAAAGGAGACACATTTTATCCGTGGACCCAAAACGCTGGCGCCAGTCACACTGGGAAGGCAGCCTTCCCTTGGTGTTTAATCCTTGCAGGGATGCCTCTCTGATTATACACCCACCTTTCAAGGGTGTCAGACCACGCAGGGACGCCTGCCTTGGTCCTTCACCCTTAGCGGCAAGTCCCGCTTTTCTGGGGAAGGGGCAAGTACCCCAACCCCTTCTCTCCTTGTCTCTACCCCTTCTCTGCTTTTCTGGGGACAGGGCTTAATTTCAATTTGTTTCATTTTCTGGGAGAGACAAAGGAGACACATTTTATCCGTGGACCCAAAACTCCGGCGCTCGTCACGGAATGGGAAGGCAGCCTTCCCTTGGTGTTTAATCCTTGCAGGGATGCCTCTCTGATTATACACCCATGTTTCAAGGGTGTCAGACCACGCAGGGATGCCTGCCTTGGTCCTTCGTCCTTAGCGGCAAGTCCTGCTTTTCTGGGGAAGGGGCAAGTACCCCAACCCCTTCTCTCCTTGTCTCTACCCCTTCTCTGCTTTTCCAGGGACAGGGCAAGTACCCCAAACCCTTCTCTCCTTGTCTCTACCCCTTCTCTGCTTTTCTGGGAGAGGAGCAAGTACGCCTCAACCCCTTCTCTTTCACCCTTAGCGGCAAGTCCCGCTTTTCTGGGAGAGGGGCAAGTACGCCTCAACCCCTTCTCCTTCATTCTTAGCGGCAAGTCCCGCTTTTCTAGAGGAGGGGCAAGTACCCCAACCTCGTATCTCTGTGCCCCAATCCCTTATTTCCGCACCCCCTCTCTCTGCACCCCAATCCCTTATTTCCGTGCCCCGACCCCTTATTTCTGCACCCCATCCCTTATTTCCATGCCCCGACCCTTATCTCTAAGCTGCAACCCCTTTTCCCACTTTTCTGGAAGGTAAGAACCCCCAAACCCCTTCCCTCCGTTTCTCTACTCTCTCTTTTCGATAGGCTTGCTTCCTTCACTATGGGCAAGCTTCCACCCTCCATTCCTCCTACTACTCCCTTGGTCTACGTTCTCAAAAACTTAAATTCAACGCACACCTGACCTACAACCTAAATGCCTTATTTTCTTCTGCAATGCTGCTTGACCCCAATACAAACTCGACAATAGTTCCAAATTGCCAGAAAATGGCACTTTGAATTTTTCCATCCTGCAAAATCTAAATAATTCTTGTCATAAAATAGGCAAACGGTCTGAGGTGCCTGATGTCCAGGCATTCTTTTACACATCAGTCCCTTCCTAGTCTCTGTACCCAGTGCAACTCGTCCCAAATCTTCCTTCTTTCCCTCTCTCCTGTCCCCTCAGTACCAACCCCAAGCCTCGCTGAGTCTTTCTAATCTTCCTTTTCTACAGACCCATCTGACCTCTCCCTTCCTCCCCAGGCTGCTCCTCACCAGGCCGAGCTAGATCCCAATTCTTCCTCAGGCTCTGCTCCTCCACCCTATAATCTTTTTATCACCTACCCTCCTCACACCTGGTCTGGCTTACAGTTTCGTTCCGTGACTAGCCCTCCCCCTCCCGCCCAGCAATTTACTCTTAAAAAGGTGGCTGGAGATAAAGGCATAGTCAAGGTTAATGCTCCTTTTTCTTTATCCCAAATCAGATAGCGTTTAGGCTCTTTTTCATCAAATATAAAAATCCGGCCCAGTTCATGACTTGTTTGGCAGCAACCCTGAGACACTTTACAGCCCTAGACCCTAAAATGTCAAACGGCCATCTTATTCTCAAAATACATTTTATTACCCAATCTGCTCCCGAAATTAAATGAAACTCCAAAAATTAAATTCCGGCCCTCAAACCCCACAACAGGATTTAATTAACCTCGCCTTCAAGGTGTACAATAATAGAAATAAGTTGCAATTCCTTGCCTCCACTGTGAGACAAACCCCAGCCACATCTCCAGCACACAAGAACTTCCAAACGCCTGAACCGCAGCAGCCAGGCGTTCCTCCAGAACCTCCTCCCCAGGAGCTTGCCACAAGTGCCAGAAATCTGGCCACTGGGCCAAGGAATGCCCGCAGCCCGGAATTCCTCCTAAGCCGCATCCCATCTTTGTGGGACCCCACTGAAAATCGGACTGTTCAACTCACCTGGCAGCCACTCCCAGAGCCCCTGGAACTCTGGCCCAAGGCTCTCTGACTGACTCCCTCTCGGCTTAGCGGCTGAAGACTGACACTGCCCGATTGCCTCCGAAGCCCCCTAGACCATCACGGACGCTGAGCTTCAGGTAACTCTCACAGTGGAAGGTAAGTCCGTCCCCTTCTTAATCAATACGGAGGCACCCACTCCACATTACCTTCTTTTTAAAGGCCTGTTTCCCTCGCCTCCATAACTGTTGTGGGTATTGATGGCCAGGCTTCTAAACCTCTTACAACTCCCCAACTCTGGTGCCAACTTAGACAATACTCTTTTAAGCACTCCTTTTTAGTTATCCCCACCTGCCCAGTTCCCTTATTAGGCTGAGACACTTTAACTAAATTATCTGCTTCCCTGACTATTCCTGGACTACAGCTGTATCTCATTGCCTCTCTTCTTCCCAATCCAAAGCCTCCTTTGCATCCTCCTCTTGTATCCCCCCACCTTAACCCACAAGTATAAGATACCTCTACTCCCTCCTTGGTGACCGATCATGCACCCCTTACCATCTCATTAAAACCTAATCACCCTTACCCCACTCAACGCCAATATCCCATCCCGCAGCATGCTTTAAAAAGATTAAAGCCTGTTATCACTCTCCTGCTACAGCATGGCATTTTAAAGCCTATAAACTCTCCTTACAATTCCCCCATTTTACCTGTCCTAAAACCAGACAAGCCTTACAAGTTAGTTCAGGATCTGCGCCTTATCAACCAAATTGTTTTGCCTATCCACCCCGTGGTGCCAAACCCATATACTCTCCTATCCTCAATACCTCCTTCTACTACCCATTATTCTGTTCTAGATCTCAAACATGCTTTCTTTACTATTCCTTTGCACCCTTAATCCCAGCCTCTTTTCGCTTTCACTTGCACTGACCCTGACACCCATCAAGCTCAGCAAATTACCTAGGCTGTACTGCTGCAAAGCTTCACAGACAGCCCCCATTACTTCAATCAAGCCCAAATTTCTTCCTCATCTGTTACCTATCTCAGCATAATTCTCATAAAAACACACGTGCTCTCCCTGCCAATCGTGTCCGACTGGTCTCTCAACCCCAGCACCTTCTACAAAACAACAACTCCTTTGCTTCCTAGGCATAGTTAGTGCGGTCAGAATTCTTACAGAAGAGCTAGGACCACACCCTGTAGCCTTTCTGTCCAAACAACTTGACCTTACTGTTTTAGCCTAGCCATCATGTCTGTGTGCAGCAGCTGCCGCTGCTTTAATACTTTTAGAGGCCCTCAAAATCACAAACTATGCTCAACTCAATCTCTACAGTTCTCATAACTTCCAAAATCTATTTTCTTCCTCATACCTGACACATATACTTTCTGCTCCCCAGCTCCTTCAGCTGTACTCACTCTTTAAGTCCCACAATTACATTGTTCCTGGCCCAGACTTCAGTCTGGCCTCCCACATTATTCCTGATACCACACCTGACCCCCATGACTGTATCTCTCTGATCCACCTGATATTCACCCCATTTCCCCAAATTTCCTTCTTTCCTGTTCCTCACCCTGATCACGCTTGATTTATTGATGGCGGTTCCACCAGGCCTAATCACCACACACCAGCAAAGGCAGGCTATGCTATAGTACAAGCCACTAGCCCACCTCTCAGAACCTCTAATTTCCTTTCCATCATGGAAATCTATCCTCAAGGAAATCACTTCTCAGTGTTCCATCTGCTATTCTACTACTCCTCAGGGATTATTCAGGCCCCCTCCCTTCCCTACACATCAAGCTCGAGGATTTGCCCCTGCCCAGGACTGGCAAATTAGCTTTACTCAACATGCCCTGAGTCAGATAACTGAAATACCTCTTAGTCTAGGTAGACACTTTCACTGGATAGGTAGAGGCCTTTCCTACAGGGTCTGAGAAGGCCACCACAGTCATTTCTTCCCTTCTGTCAACATAATTCCTCAGTTTAGCCTTCCCACCTCAATACAGTCTGATAACAGATGAGCCTTTATTAGTCAAATCAGCCAAGCATTTTTTCAGGCTCTTAGTATTCAGCGAAACCTTTATATCCCTTACGGTCCTCCATCTTCAAGAAAAGTAGAATGGACTAAAGGTCTTTTAAAAACACACCTCACCAAGCTCAGCCACCAAATTAAAAAGGACTGGACAATACTTTTACCACTTTCGCTTCTCAGAATTCAGGCCTGTCCTCAGAATGCTACAAGGTACAGTCCATTTAAGCTCCTGTATAGATGCTCCTTTTTATTAGGCCCCAGTCTCATTCGACAACAGACCAACTTAGACTGTGCCCCAAAAAAACTTGTCATCCCTACTATCTTTTGTCCAGTCATACTCCTATTCACCGTTCTCAACTACTCATACATGTCCTGCTCTTGTTTTCACTGCTGGTTTACACTGTTTCTCCAAGCCATCACAGCTGATATCTACCTTTTATACCTGTTTTTCTCCTTCTCTTATTCCATTTAGTTTTTCAGTTCGCACAAAACCGTATCCAGGCCATCACCAATCATTCTATACGACAAATGTTTCTTCTAACAACCCCACAATATCACCCCTTACCACAAGACCTCCCTTCAGCTTAATCTCTCCCACTCTAGGTTCCCACGCCGCCCCTAATCCCGCTTGAAGCAGCCCTGAGTAACATCGCACATTCTCTCTCCATACCACCCCCCAAAAATTTTCACCACCCCAACACTTCAACAATATTTTGTTTTATTTTTCTTATTAATATAAGAAGGCAGGAATGTCAGGCCTCTGAGCCCAAGCCAAGCCATCGCATCCCCTGTGACCTGCATGTATACGCCCAGATGGCCTGAAGTATCTGAAGAATCACAAAAGAAGTGAATATGCCCTGCCCCACTTTAACTGATGACATTCCACCACAGAAGAAATGTAAATGGCCGGTCCTTGCCTTAAGTGATGACATTACCTTGTGAAAGTCCTTTTCCTGGCTCATCCTGGCTCAAAAAGCAACCCCACTGAGCATCTTGTGACCCCCCACTCCTGTCCACCAGAGAACAAACCCCCTTTGACTGTAATTTTCCTTTACCTACCCAAATCCTATAAAACGGCCCCACCCTTATCTCCCTTCACTGACTCTCTTTTCGGACTCAGCCCGCCTGCACCCAGGTGAAATAAACAGCCATGTTGCTCACACAAAGCCTGTTTGGTGGTCTCTTCACATGGACGCGCATGAAAATAGCTATCATAAAAAATTCAACAAAGAGACAGCTATCATACTAGCTATCTAGCATGTGGGGCATGCTACGGGCTGTGTCCATGGTCAGCTAGCATCTTGAGACTGTTGAGAGTATAATGCTATAAATTTCACTTCAATGCACTGATTAGCAATTTGGATCAAGATGAGTCTCCAGTTTTGGGGTTGCAGCAACCTCTACCATTCTTTAGGAGAGACCACATTTAAGAAATCTTGCACTGAAGAGTTTAATGAATGAAATAAAAACACAATCTAAAGCTTCAACAATAGACTAGTCAAGCAGATGAAATAATATCTGAATTTGAAGACAGGTCTTTTGAAACAAACTCAGAAAAAAAACATAAAACCAAAAAGCCTATGTAGTATATGAGAAAATATTAAGTGAACGAATATTCACATTTCCTTAATTCTAAAAGGAGAAAAGATGAAAAAGAGCATAGAAAACCTATGTAATGAAATTGGAGCTACAAGTTTCCCAAGTTTGGGAAGATATAGGCATCTAGATACTTGAGGCCTAAATATCCCCAAATATAGTCAGCTCCAAAAGGTGCTGACCAAAGTGCATTATAGTTTTATGGTCAAAAGTCAAAGACTCAAAAAGATAATTCTAAAAACAGCAAGAGAAAAGTGTCAAGTTACATGTAAGAGAATCACCATAGCACTAAAAATGGATTTCCCAGCAGAAATATTTCAGGCCAAGAAAGGATGAAATGGTATATTTATTGTGTTGAAAGAAAATAATTGTTATCTAATAATACTATACCAAGAAAAGTTATACTTAAGTAATGAAGGAATAATAAATTACTTTTCAGACAAACAAAAACTAAGGGAATTCATCACTTGACTCACTCTATAAGAAACATTTAAGAGAATCCTTCATTTGGAAGAGAAAGGACATATCTGGCATCAGGAAAATGCTCAAAGTATAAAATTCACTAGTAGAACAGATAAAAAATGAGAAAGATAAAGGAATCAAGCACTATCACTACAGAAAACCACCAAACCACAGAGATGAACAATAAGAAAGAAAGAAATAAAAGGTATACCAAAAAATCAGAAAACAATTAACAAAATGGCAAGAGTAAGTTCTAACCTATCAATAAGAAAATTGAATATAAATGGTATAAATTCTCAAATTAAAAGATATAGACTGGCTGAATTTTTTTAAATCTACCTATAAATAATACCCAACAACACCCAAAAGTATGCAACACTGGAGCATCCAGATATAGCAAATGTCATTAGCACTAAAGAGAAAGATAGACCCTAACAGAACAATGATTGTGGACATTCACATCCCACTTACAGCATTTCACTAAACATGTAGATTAAAAAAATCAACACAGAAACACTGGACTTAAACTGCACTATGGAAAAAATTGATTTAACAAACATAGAACATTTTATCCAACAGCTATAGAATTAACATTCTTCTCAGCAGAACATAGAATGTTATTTAGGAGAGACTATATTTTAGGTCATACTGTAAGTCTTGACACATTTAAAATAATCAAAATTATATTTAGTATCTTTTTAGATCACAATAAATTAAAACTAGAAATCAATAACAAAAGGAACTTTAGAAACCATGCAAATACATTGAAATTAAACAACATGCCCCTAAATGACCAACACATCTATAAAGAAATTAAGAAAAAATTTAAAAAATTTTCTTGAAACAAATTTAAATGGAAACAACATATCAAAACCAGTGGCGTAAAACAGCAAGTTCTAAGAAGGAAAGTTATAGCAATAAATGCCTACATCATAAAAGTAGACATGTTTTGGCCAGGTACAGTTCCTGCCTGTAATCTCACTGCTTTTGGAGGCTGAAATTGGAGGATCACTTGAGGACAAGAGTTCAAGACCAGCCTGGACAATATAATGAAACCCCCATCTCGTAATTATTTGTATGTATATATATATTAGTTGGGCATGGTGTTGTGGTGGTGTGTTCCTATAGTCCTAGCTTGTGAGGAGGCTGTCGTAGAAGTATGGCATAAGCTCAGGAGTTCAAGGCTGTAGGGAGCTGTGATTGCACCATTGCTCTCCAGCCCGGGCAACAGAGCAAGATTCTGTCTCAAAAATAAAAGATCTTAGATAAAAAAAAAAAAACCTAATGGTGTACCTCAAGGAACTAGATAAGCAAGAACAAACCAAACCAAAAATTAGTAGAAGGAAGGAAATAGGATCAGAGCAGAATTAAATGAAATAGAGACAAAAAGAATACAAGATATCAATGAAACAAAAAGTTGCTTTTTTTTAGAAAGATAAACAAAAGTGATAAACCATTAACTAGATTAAAAAAAAAGAGAGATTACCAAAATAAATCAGAAAAGAAAAAGGATATATAATAACTGACACCACAGCTATATAAAGGATAATTAGAGACTATTACAAACAACTGTACACCAAACAGTTGTGAAAGCCTAGAGTAAATGGATAAATTCCTGGACACACATAATTTACCAAGAGTGAACCATAAAGAAATAGAAAACCTGAGCAAATTAATAATCAGTAATGAGACTGAATGAGTAATGAAAAGTTCCCCAATAAAGTAAACCATAGTACTGGATGGCTTTACTGCTGAATTCTATCAAACTTTAAAATGAAAACTAATACCAATTCTTATTAAAGTATCCAAAAAAACTGAAGAGGAGGGGGGAGTTTTCCCAAACCTAATCTACAAGGCCAGCATTACCCTGATACCAAAACCAGACAAAGAAACAACAAAACAAAACTACAGAACAGTATCCCTGATAAACATAGATCCTCAACAAAACACAAGCAAATCAAATCCAATAGCACATAAAAAAGATAACACACCATAATTAAGTGGGATTCATATGAAGGTGTAAGTATGGTTCAATATATACAAATCAATGAATGTGATATAATGTATCAATTAAATAAAGAATAAAAATCATGTAATTATCTCAGTAGATGTGGAAAAAGTATTTGATAAATTCAACATCCCTTCATGATAAAAACAGTCAACAAATTAGGCATAGAGGAAACATACCTCAACACAATAAAGGCCAAATATGACAAACCCACATGTAACTCATAATGAATAATAAAATAGTGAAAGCCTTTGTTCTAAGAAATGTAACAAGAAAAGGATGCTCACTTTCACGACTTTTATTCAGCATATACTAGAAGTCTTAGCCAGAGCAATTAGGCAAGAGAAAAAGAATAAAGCACATACAAATTGGAAAAGAGGAAGTCAAATTTTCTTTGACTTGAGGAAGAACATTTGAAAGAAATTGAAAAGGCAAAAAGAATGGAAAGACTTCTCATGCATGTGAATTGAGAACAGTAATATTGTTAAAATGATCTAACTGTCCACAGCAGTCTACAGGTTTAATGCAATCCTTACAAATCTACCAATAACATTTTTCACAGGTATAGAAGAAAAAGGCAATTCTAAAATTTATGTGGAAACACAAAAGACCCCAAAAAGCCAATTAAACCCCAAAGAGCAAAAATAGCAATGCTAGAGGTATCACATCACATGTCTTCAAAATATACTACAAAGCTATAGTAAACAAATTAGCATGGTATTTGTGTTAAAACAGATGTGTAGACCAATAGAACAGAATCGAGAACCCAGAAATAAATCTACATATTTACAGCCAAGTGAAGTCAAGAACATACACTAGGGAAAGGACACCAAAGATGACCCCATAGAATGGTATTTTGCAGACTTACCATTTGCCTCTATGTAAGTAACCTCATAAGTTATAGTCCATACAGCAAGAAAAACACAAGGCCGGGGTCAGAATGTAAGGCTGCCATACAAATTACACAAAGAAATATGGAGTTGGAGACCTGCTTATTATAACACACAAACCTAATCATATTTCACAATAATGTTCCTCTCTTCTGTCGTACTGGAAAAGTGCCTATGGATTAAAGTGTGTTCGGCGTGCAAAAGGATTGCTCCTGTTTTAACTTCTGCTGCTCGCCAGAGGTTATGAAAACCGTAAATCCTTCCACATTTGCACATACCACCCCTTCTCATTTTACTTCGACATCTACTTCTGCCAAGTCCCTACAGGCATATACTAAAGCTCCAGAACTTAAAACCATCATCTGGGTCCCAGATCACCAAAATAGCCCATTTTTTTTTTTCATATTCTAGGCTGAGATTTGTGTCCACTTCCTCAAATGCCTAAATTGTTGGGTCTTCCACATGACAGGAATTTATTACCACCTGGGTGACAGTCTACCACACTGATTTGGCATAGTTACCACTGTTACAAGACTTCAAACTTCTCATTCAGCTTTAAGATTAGGAGAGACATCTTATCTCTCACTCAGATCCACCCTATTCTTTACAATCCAATATCTTCTACCTTTGAACAAAGATAAAATAGTAGTCCTCAGAAATTGCCCTGCACTTATAGCGTCATGGCACAGCCATCCTTATGACCACATTGACTGGCCAGCTAGTATATTTGGATTCAGCAACCTTACCAAAGGTATTTATTGCCTTGATAGTGACTATATTAAATTTCTTTTTTTCCCAAACCTAGTCTCTCTTAACCTTACTATGAGGAAGAGAGTGATGATAAAGACTGGTAGATTAAGCTAGATAGTAGCACTGTTTGGTGTCTGGGTTAATATATTGAAGGTAGCTCTTTCAGGAATTTTTCTTCTGGAAGTAATATGGAGCTGCAGGAAGGAAGGGAATTAAAAACAAATCCTGACCTTTTGGTCTGAAAAAATTGAAAAAAAGGTGGCAACATTTACTGAACTGTAAGACTATACAAAGAAGGTTTTTTGTTTGTTTGTGTGTTTATTTGGCAAATACAATATAATTAAGACTTATCTTTTGGATCTGTTAATTTTGAGAAGCTTTTTAGACATCCAAATGGAAATGTTGAGGAAGTAGTTAATGCTATTGCCCTGGATATCAGGAGATAAGTCAGAGCTGTAAATTTTAATTCTTTGCCATGCAGGTTCTCTTTAAACCACTGGACTTGGTAAGATTATCTAGAGCAGTAATTTGTGGGAAAAAAAGTAGATAATGAAGAAGTAAATACTGTGGGAGGAAACATTAATAACATGTACTAGGAAGAAATGGCCAATGAGGTAAATGAAAAACAAGAAGACTATAATATCCTGAAAGCCAACTGAGGAGTTGAGTATTCACTATATCAAGTTATGCATAAATATCAAGAAGTATGATTAACCTTTCCAGCTAGACATCTCTCAACATGCTGGTCAGAAAACATTTATGTACAACTCAGCATGTTAACATTTTTTAACATTACAAAGGACTCTGTCTGCTGTCACAACAACTTGTGAATTATAGTGCCCATTTTTTCAAAGCTCTGGATATTACTAAGACATTTAACTGTCCAAAGTCCCTGATTTCACATATTTCCTAGGTACAAAATTCTTATAATTCACAAGTATTTTATCATATACATCTGTAAAGCTCTTCTCCTAGTTGTCTCCTTTCCAAAACATATTTGATTAAGCTAAAAATAAACCAGTTCAAGGTATGTTCAAACACAAGGAATAAAATCTTCTACCAGATGTGATTCTACAATGAAATGTTTGAAAATCAGTTTGGGTAATATTATTAAGCATCTTGAATTTCAGGATGAGGTTTTGGAGATGTTTATTTTTTATAAATTCTGAGTTTCTGAGAAATTATTCTGGCAGCGAAGGCAGGCTAAATGAGAGAAATAAGACATTAGAGGCAAGGGAGCTGGCTATTTGATTATCATACATTAAAAAAACAAAAATCTAATGTGGGCTCAAAGAACAGAAATGAAATACAGGGGAAGATATACAGCTAGGACTTGAAAATGCAGGACCAAGATTCAGTGGGGTGCTTGGAAATAGAGGAATATATTGGAGTTTCACAGGCAGACAGGAAGTGATTGAAATACTGAAGTTAGTAAAATGAAAGAAGAGAAATGAGAAAGGAAAGAATAAAAGATGAGTATCAGATTTCATAATGTCTATATTTATGGGTTAGAGGATAAAGAAGAGTTATTTAAAAGACTGAAAAGAATGGCATAAGAAATTGCACAGAGAGAAGATAATATTGTTAAAGGAAAATATATTTTCATATTTGACTGTTTTGGAGGCAAAGGAAGACATAGTTGTATTTGTAGCCTACAACAGAATGAACTTATACACTTATTGTCCAAACTGGGACATTTTTGAGAGTGAAAAAAGATGCCAAATAATAACCATGCTATTTGATTTACAACAGGCATAAAGTAGTACTTTCCCCAGAATGCTGGATATAACAGTCACTCTGAATAAGAGGAGACAGCTAGGGGACAATTGCAGACTATATCCTTGCTAACAGGAGAGTAAGCACTTGGTAAACTCAGACAAGAGAGGAGAAACGAAATCAAGCGCATAAGCAGAGTAGTTAGCTTTGATAAGAAAGAGGGAGTGTTCTTCCTAAACATCAATAGAAAAGTAAGAGTAGCAACACAATGGCCCAGAGGCATTTTTAAATGGAAAGAGGGCACTAAAGGATTTATCTTTAGAGCACCTCAGTCGTTTTAGTACGGTAGGCAGGAAGGTCACCTAATGAAAGTAAAAGGTACTGCTGGGGATTTGAAGATTGCAGAAAGCTTTTCAAAGGCCCACTGTTGGAGATAGTGGAGGAAGTCAATATACACTAAATGCAAAGATCACCAAGCAGAATCAGGATCCCATGCACTTTTGTGACATTCCAAAAGGATAAACATATCTCATAATAATAGCTACTGTCTAGTGAATATTTACTATATGCTCTACTGTAACATGCCCACATTGCATTAGTGACCTTTTTTTAATCTCAAAACAATCCTGTGAGAGAGGTGTTATCATTTCTCCATTTTACAAAAGAGGATACTGAGGCACAGAGTGACTAAGTAGTAAGCTATCCAAGGTCACACAGCTAAGATGTGAAGAGGTATGGCTTAAATGTAGTCAATCTGGCTTCAGAGATGAGGGTCTTGACCTGTAAGCACACTGCTTCTCAAGGTTAATGTTAACTGTGTTTAGAGTCATAATACAGATTTTAGAGTGGGATTCATCTTTAGAAGTAAGTAAAATGGTTTTGCAAGATCATTCACATATCCAGGGGAAGCCAAATAGAAAGCATTGCCCAGGGTGAGTGTTTCTTCCTGGTCACATTTGTTGAGGCTCCACCATGATCTGAAATGATGCTGTCATTTGATGACAAACGGGAGGTAGTCGATCTGTCACAAGAAGGTTTATACTATGTTGGCCTATCATTCTACAGACAAAAAGATGATTTGAGTATGTAGGGTATCATTTACTAGTGTGGTATTTCAAAGAATATCAATCAGGAATCCCTGAAAGCTGAAATGTGTTTTCCTAAAGTGAGAAAGCTGTACAATAATTCTTAAATCCTTTGTTGTTGTGGAGGAAATTTCTATGGGTTTCATCATAAAAAATATTTTATACTACAGCTACCAAGAAACCCTATCAATCTAAGTTGTAACATTCGTTTTTTTATGGTTTGGTTGCTAGGTAATAAACACACACTGAAAAATGCAGTTTGAGGGGGAAAATGCCTCAATAAAGAGAATTCCCCTAAGGCTTGGGTGACAATCTCAACTAATATTGTACATCTAAAAAAATCAGGCACAGGGGTTTCTAAGAAAATTACAAATTGCACCACAGCTTTCCAGGGAAGGTAATTTTTAGTATCTCTACATTTCTTCATTCCAATACTTTGTTCAGTATTTGGCCTATGGTATGTGTTCAATAATTATTCAATAAATCATTCTGTGATTGAATACATTTTTTTGTTTTTATTTTGTGAGTTCTATACTATATATGGAAGATACATGGACTACTTAAATGAACACACTTTTTGTAGTAAATGGTGTTCTATTTTCAGAAATATTACTTTTTCCCCACTAAAATTTATAGGTTTATGAACAGCTGATGAGATTTTATGTATTTATTTGGTATGTGCATATGAAAATGGTAGCTTTGCATATATAGATATTGCTACTCAGTCATCTAATGTTCAGGGTGACTTTGATACATCTTAATTACTTTCTAGAAAAATAATACCTATAGGCCAAATTAAAAAAAAAATACGAAAACCTATGTCATTTATAGAAGAGATCATTGGTGAAATATGGCGTAAAGAACAGGGGTCACAGAATCAAATATCTAAAGGTTTTTGGAAGTAATATAATAAGTGAAAGGGTTGGGTGAGGGATGGGGTAGGGGACCTTTAGTTTCAATGGCAAAGGCTGGTGAGGATGTGGAGTGACAAGGATGGTTATTCATTGGCATTGGGAATGAAAATGACACTTTGGAAAAGTTTAGTGGTTTCTTCCAAAGCTAAAAATAGACTTACCATATGATCCTATAATTGAGTTTCTTGGTATTTACCCAAGTGAGTTGAAAACTCACATTCAGGAAAAAAAAAAAAAAACCTGACATGAATGAACCCTAACAGTTTCCTTCATAATTGTCGAAACTTGGAAGCAAACAAGATGTCTTCCAATAGGTGAGTAGATAAACAAAATATGGTACACCTATATACTGAAATATTATTCAGTGATGAAATGAGCTACAAATCACAAAAAGAGACTGGAGACACTTAAATACATATTGCTAAGTGAGAGAAGCCAATTCAAAAAGCCTATTTACTATATGATTCCAACTACATAACAGTCTGGAAATGGTAAAACTATGAAGACAATAAAAGGATGAGTGACTTTGGGGAAGGGAGAGAGCAGTGAATAGGTGGAGCATAGGGCATTTTTAAGACAGTGAAACTATTCTGTGTGATGTTTAATTAACATTAATAATGTTAATGTGTAATGTCTATGTAATCTACTATAATGGCAAATACATGTCATTATACATTTATCAAAATCCATAAAATGCACAACACAAAGAGTGAACACGAATACGAGCTATGGACTGTAGTTAATAATAAGATACAGATAACAGTTAATCAGTTGTAACAAATGCACCACAGTAATGCAAAATGTTAGTAGCTGGAGAAGTCAGGAAGGGGATAGTTGAGGGAGGATAGGAAGTATATACTGTACTTTTTGCTCAATTTTTCTGTAAACCTTAAACTGCTTTAAAAAAGACTATTATTTTTTAAGGGTGACATTCAAGCAAAAATTTGCATCAGGTTAAGGATGAAGCTCTACAAATATATACAATTGCTGTATTAAGAATAATTGTTTTCCAGGTAAAGAAAATTTGTTTCCTAAATCAAGAAAATATATTTCATGAAGCTGTGCCAAATTATCCAAATATATGAGGTAGACAATAAAATGTTCATGTCTTATATTGAAATAACATAGAATTTCTGAAGTAAAGGTATTTACTAATAATTTATTGAAGTATTTATTTTATAGCCTGGTATATTTGATTGGAAAAATATAATAGTAGCTCATATTCAATGATTTTATTGGTTAAACTTTATTATTCTTAAAAAAGTAAAACTCATTACCATTTTTACAGGAATGTTTCTGAGAGAAAAAAAATCTTAATTGTGGATATCACATATAACATAATTTTCATTTTGCTTATAAAGATGGATAACATATTATAAGTGATTTCTTTTTAAATTGTAATTAATAAAAAGATACAGGCATTCTCATATTTGTTTATAATGTTATCTGGTTATATATAACTTGATAGATAATATACAATTTAACTACAGTTTACTAAATATAGTAATGTAAGTAAATATAGTTTATTAAGTATATAACTTAAATATATATTTAACATATATGTGTATACACTATGGAAAACAATGTTCTATATAATGTGTACTAATTAATCTACAAAAGAGAGCTAATATTTATCTTCAATTATAAGACATGCTTATTTCATATTTTAATATCACCAAAATGAGAATGTGTCTTTAAGTTAACATCAACTTAAATTAGATAAATTTTAGTAATCATATCATTGAAAAGATTGTATGATATTTTGGCTCAAGCCTAGTTTAGTTGGAACATTTCAAGAATGTAAGTTTCTAGTTCTATTTTAAGAGATGCAAGATCAATACGGAGGTAGAAAAGAATATTGTAATTCACTTATAAATTTCAGTGGTGCACTGGATGAGAAGGGAAATAGGGAGTATGTAAGGACATGGGGAGAGTTTTCCCATTTTTTAGTTCATTTGGAAGATACCTGTTTTCTTTTAAGCATAATTGTGACATATAAGTGCTATACCAGTTCTTTGGTTAATTTTTAAAGGAAATAGGAGCCTGGATTCTTGTTTTAAAGTAGCTTAGAGGCTGGGCATGGTGGCTCATGCCTGTAACCCCAGCACTTTGGGAGGCCTAGGTGGGAAGGTCACCTGAAGTTAGGAGTTTGATACCAGCCTGGCCAACATGGTGAAAATCCGTCTCTACTAAAAACACAAAAAAATTTAGCTGGGCATGGTGGTGCGCACTTGTAATCCCAGCTACTCTGAAGGCTGAGACAGGAGAACCGCTTCAACCAAGGAGGTGGAGGTTGCAGTGAGCCAAGATTGCACCATTGTAATGCAGCCTGGGCAACAAGAGTGAAACTTCATCTAAAAAAATAATAAAAATGATAACAATAAAAAATAAAGTAGCTTAGAGTCTACTGACAAAGATAGATCATAGGACATGTTATATAACCTTTGACTACTACCATAGAATCTTGAGACTTTATGTACAGATGAGTGCTAATGTTTGTATTAATTTTTATTGTGAATCTTAGCAGTATTGATCTGGGGATATTTATGAGAGGAAAGGGAATGTAAAACAAAAATTCGAAGATTAGAGAGATTGAATTTTGACATTGAGGAGAGTATAAAGTGTTTCAGGTTGGAGAAATGGCTAGTATGCTTGAGATAGAGAGATTGGATTCCGTTTTTCAAATTATGATTTTAAAAATCTAGTCTTCAACAGTAAGACACTTTGTTAACCTTTTACTCAATGTCAACAAAATGGAAGGAATGTATGTTTAAGTCATAGGCTAAATATTTGTACCTTCATAGCTTATCTTAATGGGAAATCAATGATTTCCTCCATATAGTATTTTCATAAGCCCCTAAGCAAGCCGACTTATTCACAATGAAATACTTTCAAATTAGCAATATGATGCCTATATGTTTTTCATCTAGTACCAGCCATTCAAAGTATGTCACCAGGTTAAATTATTTGATTCTTTTCACAGCTTATAATGATTTGCTGATTAGCATGCAGCACTTAAAAAGTTTTATAAAAATATCTTCAAAAATACCATAGATTTATTTTTCCTAAGGAAATATTTTTGGAGTGTGTAATATACAGTATGGCCATATTCAAAAGCAGTACCAATTTTAATTTGCCAATGCATTTGATAGAGATTATCTTGTTTTTCCCAAACTCTTGAACCAACTTGTCTGGTTGAACTCTTGACTTCACTACTTACTTGCTTAGGCAGAAACACAGCTTGTCTATACCTTGGTTTACCCTCTATAAAATGGAGATAGTAATGTGTAGTTTTAAGTGAGAAAATATCTAGAAGTTATGTGGGCAAGGCTACATTGGCAGAAACAAATGAAATTTTACAACAAATCTAGGAAATAAACACTAATAATACATACAGACACGTGTAATGGAGATCAATATTTTAATGGTATTTAAATTAAATAAAATTAAAAAATAAAACTTCAATATTGATGCCCTATTTGGTTTAAATTTGATCACACCTTTTGGGAGAGGAATTTGCATATATCTGTTTCCAAATGGAGTAATTTGATAGTTACTTTTCTATTTCAGTGATATAGACATTTTTCTTAAACTAATTAAGGAAGATTGATAGGCTTTGCTCAGACTTTGAAATAATGTTTTTACTTATTTTAAGCAAGAGGGAGATAAAAATGGTTTTAATAAAATTAGCTTGCCTCCTAACAATCAGGCTTTCTCTAGAATGTACATTTCCATTCCCAGAGCAGGATTCTGCTAGAGCACAGAGGCCAGATACATCTTTAAGGAACATGAATTCAGATTCCTCTTCCCAGTGCTTGCTCAAGTGGGATTCTAAACACTTGGGAGCAAGTGGGTACTATGTAGATGTGCTTGGCATCCGTGTGGATTATGGAAAGCGGTCATCTATTTTACAGCTGCATAAAACAGTACATGGATTTCATGATGCAGAAAAGCAGTAGTTTATTCCTCATTTTCCATCATGTAAATTTTTACTAAATGGACTTGCATGAAGAGTTACCCTCCCTTTAAAACACAAATAAAAAATGCCATCATTATTCACTTTCATCTTTCTAAGGTTTTTCTTGCAGGAAACAAAGAAGGAGAAAAGACAGAAGAGCATTCTTTAGAGTAAAATTTCTAGGCTGCACTGCAACTAATTTTAAATGCTGCAAGAGAAAAGTTTATAGCAGGGATAGAGAAAGCAGGCATAGTTTGAAAATGAATTTTATGTATTCATTCATTCAAAACTGAAGAGAGAATCAAAACTGAAGAGAGAATAAATATTTTTCCACCCTATAATCTAATAATCATGTATAAACAATGGTATGATCAAAGCTTACTTAGCCCATAAGAAAGCTTATATTTTCAAATCAATGTACAACTTCACAAAAGAATTAGAAAATCCTTTCCTCATAAGCAACAATTAGACATATATGCATTACACCAAAAAAGGAAAGCCAATTGTCAAATATATTAACTGAAATACTTTTTTTACTTTAATTATCAACACTGATTACTGTTTTGAATTTATTTATTTCTGACACTAGGGTTATTAATAGTAGTGTGTAAAAGAATCTGATTTTCAGAAGTATGTTAGAATTTCACACTTACATTTTCTAGCAAGATAAAATCCTCAGAATACCTGTAATCAAAATAAGGCATGTTTAAAAGTCTGTGACTTTGCTTAAAGTTTTTGAACTATATTTGGAAGATACATACTGCAAATATAAAAGCTGGACTTTTACATACCAACATAGTATATGATCAGTGCCAAATGGATCCAACAACAACAACAAAAATGTGTGGTTACAGGATGCAGAAGACAGGGTCTACGTTTTCAAAGATGACTTCATAAAGAACTTGTGCTAAACCTTGAAGAGTAGATAAGATATGTAACAAATAAGACAGAGTCGTTCAAAAAAAAAGCATGCTGGGACTTAAGCTCTACTAAATGTTTCTCAAACTTGGAACTATTAGCACTTATTATTAATTATTATTAACCACTAACAAAAACTCTTTGCTGTAGGTGGCTGTTCCATGCATTGTGGGATGTTTAGCTTCATCTTGTAATCTACCTACTTAGAAGCCAGTAGCACAACCCTTCCTTGTAGTGGAAAAAACAATGTCTCTAAATATTGCCAATGTCCCTGTGGGGAGGAGGATGAAAATTACCCCTGGTTGAAAGCGCCTGAGCAATGGGAATGCAAGTTACATAATAGGACAAAAGACAGCGAAACCAATATTGATGCACTAATGTTAAGATAAAAGTTGTGGTGAGCCCAAAATGTCAGGCTAAGGAGTGTGCAAATCTTATAAACACTGAGGGAACTCTGAAGGTTTTAAAGTAATGGATTAGCATAGTGAATGCTGAGCTTTAAGAATATAAAATTTGTACCTGTGTGCATAAATGGTATTTTGTAGGAAAAACAGAATAGGCAGAGAGAGTGATGAGCAGTCCAGCTCAGTTATCCTATTGTGGGATAACAAGCATAGGAACAGAGATGACAGAAAAGTAAAAAACAAAAAACAATAACAAAAATTAAAGGTCAGGGATGGGAGGACATTGTAATAAAT
The DNA here is from genome assembly GCF_000001405.40 of Homo sapiens. NCBI lineage: Eukaryota > Metazoa > Chordata > Mammalia > Primates > Hominidae > Homo > Homo sapiens. Next base: position 91,643,493 of record NC_000004.12, read on the forward strand.
ACTTCAAGGAACAAGTGATATAGAATATGTGCTATTCACCTTATAGAACTGGGAGACCCTTGTTACCAAAAACTAATGTGATAGACTACAGAAAATCCTGGAATTATATTCCAGATATGTTTGCATTATCTAGGCAATGTGAAATGTTATAGCTACTTTTCACAGGTGTTCACCTCTCATATGTGAAGTCATGAGATTTCTTGAAAATTTTCTGAAGGCTTTTCAAAAATCTTAAAAAGTCTTTAAAATCTTATGAAACACCAGTAGGCCCAAGTTGCAGTTTGGTACAGTGAGTCTAATTCATTATAGGTGTTTTGAAACTTCAAGGTCATTTATCATTTTGTGAGGAAATATATTTTAGGTTAGTGCGAAAGTAATTGTGGGTTTGCTATTACTTTCAGTGGCCAAAACTGCAATTACTTTTGCACCAACCTAGTATTTTTATGTCCTTAAAACCTTGAGATTCCATCTAGGGGAGTCATAATGTGACTGAAAGTCAGCTAAGTAAGCAGAATTAGGGTTTTTGGCAGTAACCCAGTTTGATGTTTTTGTTTGCTTGATCTGCGATAACAAAAAATCACAGTCTGGGTGGATTAAGCAACAGAAATTTATTTTCTCACTGTCCTGGAGGCTAGAAGTCCAGGAAGATTTTCGCTAACTTAGTTTCTCATGAGGGCTCATTGTGGCTTGCAGACAGCCAACTTCTTGCTATATCCTCACATGGCCTTTCTTCAGTATTTATGCACAGAAAGAGAGGCAGTGAGCTCTCTGGTGTTTTTTTCCTATGAGGATACTAACCCCACCAAAACCTCATTTAACCCTAATCACTGTGTTAGACGGTTCCTCTGCAAATAACTGCCCCACTGGGGGATTTGACTTCAACATATAAATTTTGGGCTGACACAAACATTTAGTTCATAACAGTTTCTATCATTATATGTAGAGCTAAAGATTCTTCCATGCTATTACTGAAAAATAAAATTAAGATCTTTCTAGTTAATATCCAAGCGAATTGAAAGCAGATGTCCACAAAAAAATGTACAGTAATGTTTATAGCGGTATTATTTATAACAACCATATGATGAACCCCAGGTCTATCAACTGACACATGGATAAAGGGTATACACATACAATTAAAAATAGTCACTGATAAAAAGGAATGAAGTACTGATATATGCCACATCATAGATGAACTTTGAAAATATTATGCTATGTGAATGAAGCCAGACACAACAATGCACATATTGTAGAATTCCATTCATATGGAATGTCCTCAATAAGCAAATTGACAGAAAGAGATAGTAGATTAGCGGCTTCCAGAGTCTGTGGGGAGGGGGCAATGGGAAGTTATTGCTAATGGCTAGAAAGGAGTTGAAAATATTCTGAAATGAGATAGTGGTGATGGTTGCCCAAATTTGTGAATATACTAAAAAATACTTTAAAATTGTGAATTTAATAGCATGTGGTTTATATTTCAATAAAGATTGTATGAGTTAAAAAAGTAAAATAAAGATATTTTCAGAAAAACAGAAACAAGAAAAACATCATAAAACCTCCTAATGGAAAAGAAAATGAATAAATAGGCAATGCTTTAAGCTATTTGCTTTTTCTTCTTTATATCAATATTAAAGAAATTCTAGATTCTTACTTGTGTGTTCCATTACCCCCATATATTACCAATGCATAATACTAGTAAACCTTTTGAGATATAAAGAAGACTTATAATCCACTGAGGTTGTGAAAGCCTAAATAGGCTGTATTTGTAGAAATAATTTAGTGCAAGAGTATGATCCTTACTTATAATGTATCACTACTTATAAAACTTTTCAAATAGATTTACTGAATTATAATTCCTGAGATTGGCCATTGAATGTCATTTTTTGTTTTCAGTGTGAAGAAGGAATGTAAAATCTCTACATTTAATTTTAGCTTTCTGTTCATGATTTGTCTCATATTTTCCAACAATTCCTGCCAATTTATTCAATAAATAAAACATGAATTGATTTTACTGTTTGGATTCTCATTGCACTTGAAATCAACACTAAAAATGTTCTATAAAGCCAAATATGCCCTCCACTTCCCTCTTACATCTATCTTATGCTCAGTTCTCTTATGCCACTCCACTTCACTCACTTTTCATCAGCCATATGGTTCTTCAGTCTTGCCTATAAGAGATCCATGATTCTTACGTCTTCATTGAGGTTCTGACATCAAGCTAGATGGATTAATCCATGGAACAAAACTATCTATGAATCAGTTACCCATGTATGTAATACTCTTTCTTCCAAGGAAAGTCAAACCATTATTCTAATGGCCAAATCCATGAATTTATTTGTCATCTTGTTTCCCTATTTCTCTGTACCTCTTATAAGCCTACTTCATCAGATTCCAAATGATGGTGATTGAGGTGTTGAATATGTTTAGAAGTTGGAAGAGAGCGAAAACAATACAGAACTCTCTCTGTAGAGAAGATATTTAAAGGTCAGCCACAGATAAATATGACACTTTGAAGGAATATATGTTTAGATCTAGAACATGTCCACATTTGCATGTAACAGCATTTAACTTCTTCATTAAAACAAAGATAAAATATCTACCTCAAAAGTCTGTTGTGAGAAATAAATTAGATCATATATTAAACAAGAGGAACAAATTAGCATTCAAATGTGGATGCTGAATAATTAGATGGACCTTCACTGCCTGACTGTTTGAGCAAGCATACTAGTCTTAAAGGACTGGGTAATCTTCATTTATGAAGAACCTTATGGTGTAGATGTTCAGAATCACTCATAATTAGCACAAATCACACAAGGTAAACACATACATACACAAGTTCTACTGAATATGTAATACATTAAAGTTCTGAAAAGGTATAAATGGGCCCATTTTCTGACAGCAGAATACTTAAAACCATATTAAGTGTGGTTAATAACTAGTACTCTGAAAAGGGGAAAATTATTCCCAAGACTATGTCTGTTCCAGAGTACCCTGAGTGTCCTGTATGTATCATCAGTCACATCATCATCTGGGGATAATTTCCTCACTTGATTCTCATTCCTTCTCCTATATTCTGGTTTATCAGTAAAATAAGTATTAAAATATGTACAGAAAAAATTATACAGTTAAATTAACTATGTGAAATTCTGATCTTGGTTCTGACAGATGGAATTGTTATAGTCAATATATCTTTTGCAGATTTAGTGTACCTGAGATCACGACTTACTTTTTTTAAAGTAGGATATATGAATCAAGTACCAAATGTAAGGTTTTGTGAAATATAAACTATTTTTATTATGTTGTTTTTACAGCTTATTAAATGCCAAGAAAACAGTTATTTAATGCTAAGAAAACTATCGTTGTATGATTTTATGTGTATGAGAAATCAAATGTTGCTCTTCAAGAACACTTGCGGAGAAGTCAAGTAGTTAGATAGACGAGTCTTGAGACATTGAAAGAGGTCAGGACTATATATCAAAAATGAACTAAAATTTTTAGTATATAAATAATTTTCAACTTAAGCTCTATTATCTGATTTAAAAGACAATTTTGACATGTTATTTGCTTTTCCTTTTTCATACTGAAAATATGGAGAGAGATCCACTTTAAATAAGGCAAATACTGTTTTGATTTTATAAATCTGTGTTACTCAAACTCATCTTTGACACTTTCATGTTTTCTCAAAGAATTAGGAAGGAATGTTGTCTAGCAGTGCAGACATAAATATGCAGTATAAATATGGGGCAAATTTGCATTTTTGGATCCCAGCAAAATTTTGCAGAGGCACTTCTTTTAGGCCTTGGCTACAAACAATTCTCAATTCCTATCTTGAGAAACACTTTTCTGTTCTTTGTAGCTCCTTATAGAATAACACTAGCAGTTTATACATTTTATCTAATTCATATTATCTTTGCATAAAGCTCATATTCAATAAATGACTTAAATCTATTCACATTTTGGAATACTCAGCACTTATAATTGCAATTGAGAACTTTCTCTTAAAATTTTCCTGTCCTCATTCATGCTTTCATCCATCCATCAATTTATCCACCCACCCACACATCCACCCATCCATCTATCCAACAGTTACTGAGTGTCTACTATGCATCAGGCACTGTTACAGGTGCATGCAATATATCAGAGAATAACACAAAGATATTTGCCCTTGAGGAGTTCACATTGAGCTAAGGGGACAATAAAAATAAATGTAAAAAAAGAAAATAACAAAATATACAGGTAATGATAAATTATACAGGAAAACAGTATAAGTAGAGGAGGGCAATTAGGTTTACAAGTTCAGGCAATAGTGTGAGTGGAACAGGTGCAATATTAAATGACATGGTAAGGGTAGGGTTCATTGAGGAGTTAAAATTTGAGCAAAGACTTGAAGGAGGTGTGAGTTGACCAAACAGCTATTTAGGACAAAAACATTGTAGGCAAAGAGGAGAGCTGGAGCTTAGTCCTGAGATAGTTTACTTTGTATATTCCAGAAAGTGTTTGGAGGCCAGTGTTGCTGCAGTGTAGAGATCCAGGATGAGAAAAGTAGGAGAAATCAGAGAAGCCATGGGAGCCTGGGTCATCTAGGCTAGTCCTCTAAGTCTAGTCATCTTGACTAACAGGACATTTTAAGGATTTTGGATTTTACTGAGAGGAAATGGCCAGTTTTTGCCAGAGAACTATCATGAGCTTACTTACATTTCAAAAGGATTACTTTGGTTTTTCTTTTAAGAATAGATTGTACAAGTGGTAAGGATAGACTTATGAAGACAAATTAGAAGGTCATTAATTTTTTTTTTTTTAAAGTATGAGATTATGTGGGTTCTACCAAACTAAAAGGAATAGAAAATGCATGAACTGGTCAAACTCTGGATGCATTTCAATGTTGAAACCAACAGGATTTCTTGGTACTTCCTAATAGATGAAGGATGATTTTGAGGCCACCAGGCTGAGAAAATAGAAAGGAGGGAGTTAGGATTTGTGAGATGTGGGAAGCTGCTGGAGAAACAGATTTTGGGGAGGGTGGTGGAAGAGGAAAAGCTGTGGCTTCCTTTTGAAATTTAGGTTTCAATAAATATCTAAGTGGAGATGTCAAGAAAGTAGATGGATAGATGAGTCTGGTGATAATGAAAGAAGTCAGGACTATAAATATGAAATTAGGAATTAA